>NC_000009.12:102917521-103069036 GCF_000001405.40 Homo sapiens | reverse complement strand
ATCTGTTTATCTAAGAGAGCTGCTTTCTGGGGCAACTGAAATGATCCAAATCTACTTAATGCGTTTTCCTTTTGTTAGCATATAGCCTAAGAATAATTTCATGGCAATATCTCAAATGCAAGAGTGGTTGCTGGCCTACACACACACATGTAATTTTTACGGCAACCTTGCATCACTTTTGCTTACTCACCATGGGACAAATAAAGACATACAGCTAATTCAGAGTCAGAGTAGGAAAACACTATAAAGTTACATGTAACAGTTATGAATAGCAAAAGGAAGATACAGTAATTACCAATTCGTATATGTACCTTATAAGTTGGCTTCAAAATATGTATTTAATGTAATAAAAAATCTAAAAACTGAGAAAATAACATATTCATAGTAGTATTTAGAGATCTTAACATTTCTCATTAAATAATTGATAGATGACACAGACAAAAATAACAGTGATTTTACAGAAGATTTAAATAAAACCAAAAATATCACCTCTCAAATATCTGTAGTAATGATTGTTTTAAAAATGTTCTATATATTGAGACTAATTTTGTAAGGTAAAATGTAGATCTGAAAAATGTTATTAAATCCTTTTAAGTATATTTTTGCACATCACTTTTTCAATATTTAAATATTTTATATAACAAATGATAGTTTCTTGCTTAGTTAATATGTTCCATTTCAGACTATTATTTTTATGTGTTAATATGGAATCGCATTAAACACATTTTCATTTCATGCTGAAGTATAATGATTTCCAAAGGAGGAACGTTCTGTTGAAAAACATTTAAACTATGTTTTAGCAAGCTAAGAATCTAGTTTGGTTCCATTATTTTTAGATTATGTTTACCAATTTTTATTTTAAATAATTTCAATACACCAACTCCTGGAAGGAGTACATCAGTCTTTTCAATGGTAGAGAAAATTAAAAGGTGAAATTAGAATCTTGAAACAACAGTTTTTACATATTATTGTATGATATTTCATAACTGAATTACAATTGTCATTAAAACAGATAACTGCACATGGAGGAAAGCCATTATTATTACCACAAACTTTCAGATTTAATATTATGCTTTCAATTTTGATTTCCCTTAAAATAATTTACACAGTGGAAAATTTGTGTATCTGGAATCAATTTATTTCATCAAAACATAATTTAAAATAATTTTACAGTATTAATTGTTAGAACTGACTATTCATGAAAGATTGAAAACATTTTGAAAATAATCACTTCCTTTATTTTGAATAAAAGTTTAAAATGAATATTTTGCTTTAGCTGAAATTGCTTAAAATCTCTTGTCATTTTTCATCCAGCAATTAACTCATTGAGACTTGTTTCTCCGTTACCAACGTATTTAAAAAACAAAAAACAAAACAGAACAAAAAACAGAAATGCCTTAGATATGGCCAGGAGTAATGACTCACCACTCTAATCCCAGCACTTTGGGAGGCCAAGGAGGACAGATCTCTTGAGGTAAGGAGTTAGAGAACAGCCTAGCCAACATGGTGAAACCCGGTCTCTACTAAAATTTAAAAAATTAGCTGGGTGTGGTGGCACATGCCTGTAATTCAAGCTACTCAGGAGGCTGAGGCACAAGAGTCCCTTGAACCTGGGATGCCGAGGTTGCAGTGAGCCGAATTTGAGCCTGTGTACTCCAGCCTGGGTGACGGATTGAGATTTTGTCTCAAAACAACAACAACAGCAACAACAAACTTTAGATAAAATTATAATTTAACTAGACAGTTTAAGCAAGAAGCAATTATTTGACATTTAAAATATGTAAATATAAAATAAGTGGTGTACGGCCGGGCGTGGTGGCTCACGCCTGTAATCCCAGCACTTTGGGAGGCCAAGGCGGGCGGATCACGAGGTCAGGAGACTGAGACCATCCTGGCTAACACGGTGAAACCCTGATTCTACTAAAAATACAAAAAACATAGCCGGGCGTGGTGGCGGGCGCCTGTAGTCCCAGCTACTTGGGAGGCTGAGGCAGGAGAATGGTGTGAACCTGGGAGGCAGAGCTTGCAGTGAGCCGCGATCGTGCCACTGCACTCCAGCCTGGATGACAGAGCGAGACTCCATCTCAAAAATAAAAAATAATAATAAAATAAATAAAATAAAACAAGTGGTGTAAATAAAAATAAAAGCATTTAATAACATTTTTCAAATCCGTATTTTATAAAAAATTAATCTTAATATATAGGTAATTTAAAAACAGTCTTTACTGTAGATATTTGAAAGGTGATATTTTTAGTTTTGTTTATATCTTTTGTAAACTCAGTTGTTTTTGTCTGTGTCGTTTATCAGTTAAATGTTAAAATCTCTGAATACTATGAATTTGTGTTCTCAATTTTTAGATTTTTCATTATACATATTTTGAAAACAACTTATATGGTACATATACAAATTTGTAATTACCATATCTTCCTTTTATTATGACTCTTTAATCTTTACAGAATTTCTCCTTTAATCTCTAGTAATACCTATTGGGTACTAGTTTACTTTGACCATCATATTATAGCAAACCAGTTTTATGCAGTTAGTGTTTGCCTAGTATGTCAATTTTTCAACATTTTTTAAATCTTTTTGAGTTTTTATCTTAAATCATGCTTTTTATATACAAGATTTAATTAGATTTTTAAATAAATTCTGACAGCTTTTTTATCGTAGCTTTTGTATTTATATTTATTGATATATATAGTTCACTTTTTTATTTGCTCTTTGTCTTATATATATACCATCTATACTGTGCTCTTTGTTCTCTAACACTGCTATACAAATGGCCAAAAAACATGTGGAAAAATGCTGAACATCACTAATTGTCAAGGAAATGCAAATGAAAACCACAATGTGATACCACAATACTTGGCAAGAATGGCCGTAATCAAAAAATCAGAAAAAAAAAAAAAAAAAAAAAAAAAAACATTTTGGCTTGGATGTAGTGAACAGGGAACACTTTTACACTGTTGGTGGGAATGTTAACTAGGACAACCACTATGGAAAACAGTGTGGAGATTCATTAAAGATCTAAAAGTAGATCTACCATTTGATCTGGCAGTCTCACTTCTGGGTATCTACCCAGAGGGGAAAAAAAGGCATTATACAAACAAGACAGTTGCACACACGTTTATAGCAGCACAATTCGCAACTGCAAAAATATAGAACCAGCCCAAATGCCCATGAATCAGAGTGGATAAAGAAAATGCGACCCACACACACACATATATATACACACACACATATGTTATATATATGCACACATATACATACATACATTCACATATATGTGCACACACAAACACCATCAAATACTACTAAGCCATGAAAAGGAATTAAATAATGGTATTTGCAGCAAGCTGAATGGAATTGGAGACCATTATTCTAAGTGAAGTAACCCAGGAATGGAAAACAAAACATTGAGATTGTGAGATTGTTTTAGGTATTGACTTCTCTAATCAAATTAAATCTAGTAAAAGTGAAACTAGATTTTGGCTTATGACTAGGTTTAGGCGGGGGGCTGTGCGGTGGATAGTATTGGGGTAGAATCCTAGTATATTGGAGAAATAGAATATAGGTAGTGGGGTTTTTACTTTGAGTTTATTGGTTAAACGACTAAGGTCTAGGGCTCTGAAGCTTCAAAGGCATAAGAATTATACAACTGGCTTTCGGGACCTGAGGGAAAGTGTGGGACGGGGGTGAGGGATAAAAGGCTATACATTGAGTACAGTGTACACTGCCCGGGTGATGGGTGCACCAAAATCTCAGAAATCATCACTCAAGAACTTGTTCATATAACCAAACACCACCTGTTCCCCCAAAACCTATTGAAATAAAAAAAAAAGTCTCCATTTCACTGACATTGTTTACAATTTTATAAATAATCACATTCCCCTCAGTAAATGACTCCAGGAATTTTATAATCCCTTAAATCACTTTATAATTTGTGTAAAATATTTTTGATAAAAATATCACTTAAATGATGTTACTGCATGTGACTTTTAGTAATTCAAACAAAATTCTTTCAGTTTTAATAAAATTTTTTAAACATGTTTATATTTTATGATATCCAGTAAACAAAATAATGTAAACCGTTTTTTTCCAAATGATATAGTTGGCTTCATTGATCTTAAATTCTGTTCATCGATCTTAAACTGAAGTATACAGGACACGATTAAAATGCTACAGCTTGCAATTTGATTTAATAAAAAATGCTTTCAACATGTTTTTTCTCATAAATCAAAAACTATGCTCTGAGGCACATTTATAACTTTGGATCAGCCTGTATAGCTAAGCAAACATTTTATCTAATGAATTTAATTAAGAGTTCAAATCTGCATTAGAGATGAACTAAATGGAAAATGTAACCCTTAAAAAATAGGATTAGAGGACTCCTTTTTTTCTGTATATCTTCTTCATAAAGCTTTCTCCACAGAGAGTTTCCTGGGCAAAATGCTTTCTGGCTTATGGGTCAATCCAAATGTGCCCTATGCTTACCCTTCAGTTGAAACTCTTAGTACAATGAGAGATTCTTTTAAAAGAATACTAATTCAGAATTCAGAAAGCTATACAGGCGTCTTACTTATGGGACAAATGGGAGGCAGAAGGTCTAAAATTTAACCTCCTTTGACTACAATTCATATCCTCAAATATTGGATTGGAGTACAACCTGCCAATCACACTGCATTTATTCATCTAGTAAATAAAGACACAAACTTAGAAGTATTTTTCTTTTGCTTTATTGTTGTTTTATTGTTATATGTAGGTTTTAAAATAAATACGTTGTTTTAGAGTTTCAAATATAGCACATAATTATTGCAAATATAATATGGAATTTCCATATACCCCCCACACAGTGTCCTTTATTATTGATTGATTGAGATAGAGTCTCCCTCTGTTGCCCAGGCTGTAGTGCAGTGGCATCTTGGCTCATTGCAATCTACGCCTCCCGGGTTCAAGCGATTCTTCTGCCTCAGCCTCTTGAGCAGCTGAGACTACAGGTGTGTGCCACCACGCCTGGATAATTTTTTGTATTTTTAGCAGAGGCAGGGTTTCACCATGTTAGCCAGGATGCCCTCGATCTTCTGACCTCCTAATCCAACAGCCTTGGCCTCCAAAAGTGCTGGGATTACAGGTGTGAACCACCACGCCCAGCAATTATTAACACTTTACATTAGTACTTGTTACAATTAGTGGACCAATGTTAGTATGTCATTATTAACTAAAGTCCATGCTTTATCAGAATTCCTAAGGATTTTTATAATTTTTGTTTGGTTCTAGAATCCCATCCAGGTTATATATTGTATTTAGTGGTCGTGTCACCTTGAGTTCCTCATAGATGTGACAGTTTGTCAGACTATCCTTTTCTTGATGACCTTGACAGGTTTTTTTGGTAGTATGGCAGGTATTTTGTAGACAAAACACTTTCTTAATATTTGTTTGACATTTTTCTTAGGATAAAATTGGGCTAATGCATTTTTGGAAATAGACCACAGAGGTAAATAGATATTCTAGTCACATCATATCAAAGGTGATTATTAATATGATTTATCACTTACAACCTGATCATCTAACCTGAGTTAACGTTTTTCAGGTCTCTCTACCATAAAGCTACTCTCTCTTGTTCTCCCTTTCTTTTCATCTTTAGTGTCACAGATACTACTCATTTCCATAATTTATGGCCAGCACCTTATTCCCCTACTCTCTCCAGGGAGGTTCTTTCATATAAATATAATAAACCAATTATTTTGCCACACTCTGCATTCCATTTTAGGACCACACACTGCCTATATATTTTTAAAAATTGTTTTATATTACATTTTGCTATCTGTACTGAACATGCTATGCATTTTGACAAATGCTTAATGTTTTCTATTCATCATTCCAGTACAAAATAGCTTTACTGCTCTGAAAAATCTCCTGTGCTTTAAATATTCAAACTTTCCACAGACCTCTGAACTCTTTGCTGATCTTTTTACTGTCTCCATAGTTTTGCCTTTTCTGGAATGTCACATAATTGGCATCATGGAGAGAGAGATTTTTCAGACTTGCTTCTTTCACTTCGCAATATGCGTTGAGATTCTTTCATGCCTTTTTACGTCTTGATAACTCGTTTCTTTTTATCACTGAGTAACAGTCCATGGATATATAGTATAGTTTGTGTGCATTCACCTATTGAAAGATGTTGTGCTTGTTTCCAGTTTTTGACTTTATGAATAAAACTCCTATAAATATTTATGTCCAGGATTTGGTATATACCTAAGTTTTGAAACAACTTAGAAGTGTAATTGGTGAATGGCAAATTAAGACTATATTATTTGTATAAGATTAAGAAACTGGCAAAATCTTACAAAACGTCTGTAATATTTTGCATTTCCATCATTAATAAATGAAAGTTCCTTTTTCCCACATCCTGGCCAGCAGTTGACATTGTCCTTTTAACGTTTATGTAGTGGTAAGTAATTTCTGTTTTAATTCTAAACTTTCTAATGACAAATGATGTAGCACATTTCTCCCTATGCTTATCTGCCATCAGTATAACGTCTTTTTTGAGATGCCTATTCAAACTTTTTAAGTTTTAAGGGTTCACTGAATATTTTGGATATAAGTCCTTTTCCAGACATATGATTTGAAAATATTTTCTGCCACTCTGTTTCTGTGGTTTGCTGTTTCATTCTCCTGAGTATCTTTCACAGAGCAGAAATCTTTTATTTTTAGTATAGTCCAGTTTATCTCTTTTCTCATGGATAGTGCTATTCTTATACTTAAAATGTCATCAGTAAATCCAAGGTCATATAATTTTTACCGTATGTTTTCTTTAAGACCTTTTATTTGAATTTAACATTTATGTATATAAACAATTCATAGTTAATTATGTGTATGGTTTAAAGTCTGCCTCTATGTTCTTTTTTGGTATTGTTTTGTTTTGTGTTTTTGTTTATGGACATCCAAATAATCTAGCACCATTCGTTAGAAATAAAACACTTCATGTGTCTAATCTTTTAACCATATCACACTGCCTTGATTAACATAGGTTTGTAGTAAGGGTAGTTTTTTCGAAAGGTAGTTTGTGTCTTCCAAATTTGTTTTTCTTCAGTATTGCATTGGATATTCTTGGTCTTTTCCTTTCCATTAACATTTTAGAGTCAGTTTCTTAATTCATAAAAATTAATTTCTGGGATTTTTATTGAAATGTCACTAAATCTGTACATCAAAACTGATATATTAAAATATTGAGTTTTCTAATCCATGAACATGGACTATTTCTTCATTTATTTGGATATTATTTCATATTACTATCATTTTCTATTTGTTTTCACATTCCCACATAGAGATCATGTACAATATTTTAAAAATATTTATATCTAAGTGTGTATTAGGAGAGGTACTATTATAAATGCTGTTGTCTAAAATTTCAAATTTTTTTCACACATTGCTATTAAATAGGAAAGCAATTGACTTGAATTTAACTTTATATCATGTGACTTTGCTACATCCATTTATTAGTTCCAGGAGATTATTATTATTATTACTTTTAAAATTTGGGGAATTTTTAATGTAGATAATCATCTCAATATAGAAAAGTTTTAAAAACCATATATGATCACCTCAATAGATTCATAAATAGCATTTGATAAAATTCAACATCTCATGATAAAAAACCCTCACCAAACTAGGCATTAAAGAAATATTCCTGAAAATAGTAAGAGACATCTATGAAAAACCCGTAGTCAATGTCATACTGAATGGAGAAAAGTTGACAGAATTCTTCCTAAGAACTAGAACAAGACAAATATGCCCACATTCACTACTCCTGTTCAACATAGTACTGGAAGTCCTAGCCAGAGCAATCAGGCAAGAGAAAGAAATAAAAGCCACCCAAATTGGAAAAGAGGGAGTCAAATTATGACATATTCTTATACCTGGAAAAACGTAGACTCCTCCAAAAGATTCCAATACTTGATAAATAACTTCAGTAAAGTTTTAGGATGCAAACTCAACAATAAAAATTAGTAGGATATCTATACACCAATAATGTTCAAGCTGAGAAGCAAATTGAGAACTCAATGCCGTTTACAATAGCTATAAAAGTACCCAGGGCCGGGCGCGGTGGCTCACGCCTGTAATCCCAGCACTTTGGGAGGCCGAGGCGGGCGGATCACGAGGTCAGGAGATCGAGACCATCCCGGCTAAAACGGTGAAACCCCGTCTCTACTAAAAATACAAAAAATTAGCCGGGCGTAGTGGCGGGCGCCTGTAGTCCCAGCTACTTGGGAGGCTGAGGCAGGAGAATGGCGTGAACCCGGGAGGCGGAGCTTGCAGTGAGCCGAGATCCCGCCACTGCACTCCAGCCTGGGCGACAGAGCGAGACTCCGTCTCAAAAAAAAAAAAAAAAAAAAAAAGTACCCAGGAATATATTTCACCAAGGAGGTGAAATATCTTTACAAGAAGAACTATAGAACACCAATAAAGGAAGTTGTAGATGACACAAACAAATGGGAAAACGTCTCATGCTCATGGATTTGAAGAATCAAATTGTCAAAATGCTCATACTGTCCAAAGCAATCTACAGATTGAATGAAATTTCCATCAAGTTACAAACATCATTTTTCCAAAATTAGAAAAAACAATTATAAAATTTATATGGAACCAAAAAGAGGCTTGAAGAGACAAAGCAATCCTAAGGACAAAGACCAAAGCTAGAGGCATCACATCACCTAACTCTATATTATTAGGCCGTAGTAACCCAAACAGCATGGTACTGATATAAAAATAGACACAGGGACCAATGGAATGAAATGAAATAAAGGAACCCAGAAATAAAGAATATATCTAAAACAAAGTGATCTTAGAAAAAGTTGACAAAAATATACAGTGGGGAAAGGACATCTTATTCAATAAATGGTGGTAGGAAAATTGGATAACCATATATAGAAGAATATAACTGTACCCCTATCTCTTACCATATACAAAAATTAACTCGAGATGAATTAAAGACTTAAATGTAAGATCTGAAACTATGAAAGTACTAGACAAAACCCTAGGAAAACCTCTTCTGGACATTGGCCTAAGAAAATAATTTACGACTAATACTTCAAAAGCCAATGCCAAAAAAACTGAAAAATTGATAAATAGGACTTAAAGTAAAAAGCTTCTGCACATAAAAAATAATCAACAGACTAAACAGAAAACCTGCAGAACAAGAGCAATTATTTGCAAACTATGCATCTGACAAAGGGCTAATATCCAAAATCTACAAAGAACATGAACAACTCAACAAGGGGGAACAACAAGAACAACAACAACAGCAACAAATAATCCCATTAAGTTGTGGGCCTAGAACATGAATAGACATTTATTGAATGAAACACAAGAGACCAACAATTGTATAAGACAATTCTAATCACCAGAGAAATACAAATTAAAACCACAATGGGATACAATCCAGAATGTCACACCAGCCAGAAGGACTATTTTTTGAACCGTCAAAAAATAACAGATATTAGTGAGAATGCAGAGAAAAAGGAATGCTTATCCACTGCGGGTGGGGGTGTAAATTAGTACATTACTAAAACAATATGGAGATTTCTTAAAGAACTAAAGTAGAACTACCAGTCAACCTGGCAATCCCACTATTAGGCATTTATACAAAGGAAAAGGATAATCATATCAAAAAGACAGCTGCATTTATATGTTTTTCACAGCACTATTCACAATAGCAAAATTATCACATCAACCTAAGTTTCATCAATGGATGACTGTAATTTAAAAAGTGGTATATATACAACATGGAATACTATGCAGTCATAAAAACGAATGAAATTGGGTCTTTTGCAGCAACATAAATGGAGCTGGAGGCCATTACCCTGAGTGAAATAACAGAAACAGCGAATCAAATACTTCATGTTCTCACTTGTAATTGGGAGCTAAACAATGGGTACACATGGCAATGCAAGGGGAAATAATAGACACTGGGGTCTCCAAAAGGGGAGAGACTGAGAGGGAAGTAAATGTTGAAAAATCGCCTATTCAGTACAATGGTTACTATTCCAGTCATGGAAATATTAGAAGTTCAAACCTCACCATTTCACAGTATATCCATGTAACAAACCTGCACACGTCCCCCCTGAAACAATGATAATTAAAATACAGAGAGAGTTCTATATCTTCCTTTCCAATATGTGCATCTCACATTTCCTTTTCTTGTCTTATTGTACTATTTGGAACTTACAGTATGATGTTGAATAGGAATAGTAAGCAACAACATCCCTATTTCCTTCCTTGTCTTAGGAGAAAAATAGCCAGTATGTACAGTTAGATGTGATTTTATCTGTGGCTACTTTGTAGACATTCTTTATCAAATTTCCAAACTTGTTCTCTGTTAACATTTATGTGAGAGTTTATTTTCATGAATGTATTTTTTTCAAATACCTTTTCTGTGTCATTTGATATATTCATATTATAAATTATATTGATTAGAATTGGAACATCAAACCGGCCTGATTTCTCTTGAATCAGTTTCACTTAGTTGTGTTCTACAACTTGCTTTATACATTTTTCAATCTACTTGCTAATATTTTTTGAGCAATTTGGGGGTCTAGGTTCTTGAGATATATTGATTGATAATTTTTCTTTCTTATATCTTTTATATGGATTCAATATTAGGATGATTTAATGTCATCATAGAATAAGTTAGGAAGTTCTCCCTGTGCCACTGTTTTGTGGAAACAAAGCCTTTACTATTTGGCAGAATTCAACAGTGAAACCACTTGATACTAATGATATATTTTTTCAGAAGTTGTTAATGCTTAATTGAATTTTTCTTAGATATAGGGCTATTCAGATTATTTGTTTATCCTTATGTGAAATTATGAGTTTGTGTCTTTAAAGCAATTGGTCCATTTCAACTAAGTTATGAAATTTGTGGCCATAGAGTTGTCTGCAACATTTCTTTAAATGTTTTTGGGAGAAGTAGTGATGATCCCTCCTCATCTCTGGTTTGCTAATTTGTAGCTTTTAAAATTTTAATTTTTCACAGAATCAGCTATTGTTTTTTGTTGATTTTCCATATTTTTTATTTTCAATTTCAGTAACGTTTGCCATAATTTTTATGATTTTATTTTCTTTTTCTTGCTTTAGCATTAAATGAATCTCTTTCTTTAGTTTTCTAATACGGAAATGTAGGCTAATACATTTAGATAGTTCTTCATTACCAATGTATGAATATAATTTCCTTCTATACCTGCATTCACTATACAAAAAAGTTGATAAGTTGTATTTTAGTTTTCATTTAGTTCAAAATATTTTTTGATTCCTTTTGAGATTTATTCTTTGTCCTGTGTGTTAGTTAAATGTGCTGTTAATTTACAAATATTTGATTTTCTTCCTCTGTCTTTGTGCTAATTGATTTCTGGTTTAAATTCTTTATGGTCAGAAAACGTACTTTGCTTGATTTTTTATTTTTTAAAAACATATTAAAGTATGTAGTCTAGGATGTAGTCCCTCTAGGTAAACATTCTGCATGAGCCTGAGAATATGATTGAGCTTGAGTATTTTATAGTTCTTAGATGGAGAATTTTATAAATGTCAATTAGACCAAGTCGATTTATAGACATTTTCAGGTCATCTATACCTTAATGATTTTGTTCCTGCTAGATCTATGCACTATTGATAGATAATGTTAAAATTTTAACTAGAGAGTAAATTTATCTATTTTTTCTTGTGGCTCTGTCAGGTTTTTCATTGAATTTGTTCGTTTATTTGCTTTTTGAGCCTGGGTCTCACTTTGTTGTCCAGCCTGGAGTGCGGTGTTTTTGATATATATTTTTCATCCCTTTGGCTTTAATCTATGTTCCTTTAAATTTAATGCAGGTTTTCTGTAGAAGATAAACAATTGACTTTTAAATAACATGGAAATTAGGGACACTGCCCTTTCTCTGCAGTAAAAATTCATGCATAATTTTGGGTTTCTCAAAAATTTAATTATTAATAATCTACTGTTGACCAAAAGCCTTACTGGTGACATAAACAGTTGATTAACATGTTTGTATGTTATATGCATTATATACTATATTCTTATAATAAAGGAAGCTAGAGAAAACAAAAATGTTACCAAGAAAATTATAAGGAAAATAATATATATTTACTATGCTTAAATGGAAGTGGATCATCATAAAGGTCTTCATCCTCATAATCCTGATGTTGAATAGTCCAAAGAGAAGGAGGAACAGGAGAGGTTAGTTCTGTTTTCTCATTGGTAGCAGATGCAGAATAAAATCTGCGTATTAGTGGACCTGCCTAGTCTAAAACTATGTGTTGAAGACTCAACTGTAGATGTATCTTTTTATGTACTCTGACAATCTCAGCTTTTAATTGGTGTTTTTAGATAATTTGCAGTTTAAGTTATTATCAATATATTTGGATTGTTAATTATGTTTGTGACAGATTTCTGTCAATTTCCAGAGGCTTCATTTCCTTTCTGGTTTTGCTTGAACATTTTATGAGATTTCATTTTTACTTCTCACATTGGTGTGTTAACTATGCTTCCTTTTAAAAACATTAATGGTTGCCCTAGTGCTTACAAATGATTTGAACTAACTGAGGTACACCATCAGATACTTAAGTACTCTCTCATGTGTTTTGGAGATATTTTGTACTAGAACATTCCCAATTCTTTTATCTCATCCCTCATGAAACTGCTCTCAATCATTTCATTTTGTATGCTATTATTCTTACAATTATTACTTTAAACAGTTGTATATTTTAGATTATTAATACAAAAATTAATATTTTATTTTATCTTATATTATTACTTCCCGAACACACTTCCTTTATTTGTGTAATTCCAACTTTTTAACCAGCGTCATTTCCCCTCTGTCTAAAGAAAATTGCTTAATCTATTGTATGAGTCTGTTCTCACGCTGCTAATAAAGACATACCCAAGACTGGGTAATTTATAAAGAAAAGAGGTTAAATTGGCTGATAGTTCCACATGGCTGGGGAGGCCTTACAACCATGGTGGAAGACGAATGACGAGCAAAGTTACATCTTACATGGCAGCAGGCAAGAGAGCACTTACATAGGGGAACTCACCTTTATAAAACTATCAGATCTCATGAGACTTATTAACTACCACGAGAACAGCACAGGAAAGACCCACTTCCATGATTCAGTTACCTTCCACTGAGTCTCAACCATGACACATGGGAATTATGGGAGCTACAATTCAAGATGAGATTTGGGTGGAGACACAGGCAAACCATATCATCTATCATGTAAGGAAAATCTGCTGTCAATTAATTCTTAGTTTGGGTTCATTTAAAGGATAATTTCACTGGTTATAAAATGTTCAGCTGGTTTCTTTCTTCTTACAATACTTTAAATATATGACTCACTCTCTTCTTACTATTTTAGTTTCTGATGAGAAGGCTGTTGAGTATTATTTATCTTGTTCTTTTACAGGTAAAGTACCTCCTACTCCCTGGTATTTTTGAATATTTTTTTCTTCGTCTCTGGTATTCTGTACGATATGATACTCATATGCTATGTAGATGGTGGTGCTTGTTTTAATTGTCATTGATATGCTCTTTCTTAGATTTGTGTTTTGGTCTTCATCTTTAATTTTGGAAAGTACTCAGTCATTATTAACTTCAAAATACCTCAAATATTATGCATACAATTACACTTTTGTAATCTGTATTTTACTAGAATTCTTTAGGTGTGGTTATATGCTACGGGGAAGGTGGCAGATTCTATAATCCTCCAATTAAAATCTCAGTCTTTTAGTAAACCTGTCCTTCTATACTGTTCCCTTCACAAGTGTTTCTTCTTGCATAATACCCTCTCCCCTCAGGTGATATAGGAAGGCTAGAGGGTGCTAGAATGGGAGGAATCACTCATCTCCACAACTGTGGACAGAGTTCTGGAGAAGCTTTTCTCCCAGAGGATGAGCCTTTTTTATAAAGAGACCAACTCTATTTCTCAATGAATATTCTCCTCTTCTACCTCACAGACATATGAGATCTTTCTCACCATTGTTGTTACTGCAAGAACTAGGTGAGATTTCTGGAAGCAAAGGTCATGAAAGTGTGGATGTCAACCTAAGGCTGCAGTTTCCAGGACATTCTAGAAGTTTCTCCCTCTTATGCTGGATAATACTCAGCAATTTGTTAAAAATTAATCTTTAAGTGCCCCTATCATTTTATGGCTTCAGAGGCTTTTGCTCCACGTAAGCAGATCTCAGCTGTGACTCTGGATTCACCTTTCTCTCCTGACTCTGTGTGGATGGTTTGCCCAGCAAAATCAGACTCAAGAAAAGTAATTGATTTTTAGTCTATTCAGCATCTTCTTATAAGGACAATTTGAAACGACTTCTTCTAAGTTCTTTGTATGTCAGAGATGAAAGCAGAAGCCTGTATGTTTTTATAGTTTATTTAATCTATTGATATTGGGGCTGCTCATGAGGGAGGGAGGATCAAAGTGACACCTTTGGAAGAAATCTTTCATAAATTATGCAATACTACTGTGAGTGATTTTGAATCCCAGGAGGCAGTAGTTGCAGTGAGCCAAGATTCTGCCACTGCCCTCCAGCCTGGGTGACAGAGTGCTCCGTCTCAAAAACAAAAAAAAAGTATGTGCATATTGAGTTATGTATTTTCATTCTAATGCTTTGAAAGGAAGAACACTAATAAACTGATATGCAAAAATAATAGGCAGGATTCAGTGTTCTCTTCTAATTAAATTATATTTAAAAAGTGAGAATAGTTCTTTTTAAACTGAGATATTGGATTTCATGAAACTTGTGGGTGAGTGACTAATAACTTTCTTTTATCTTTCTACTTAAAGTAAGTGTAAAATTAGGAAGAAGACACGTTATTTTTCTATCAGGAAAATTATCTACGTATGGAATGTGGGCTTCTAGTATAGCTAAGAATCTAAGAAGAAATAGAGCAAAGCTGCCTCTGTCTGGGTTTACTTCAGCTTCTAATTCCTTTTATCCTCTCAGGCTTCAGGATTTCCAACTTGTCAATGTGCTTTTCCAACCATCAGCCTTCAGTATTAGGACAGGAAATAATTTTAGTGTTTTGTTTTTTAACAATATTATTGGGGGGAAGTGCAGGGACAGAAGGGAATCTACTCATTAGTACATATGCATCTCTCCTAGTTCACACTCACAAACATAGAATAATATTACATGAAAACTGTTGAAATAGTCTACTATGTAGAACATAGGGAAAGTAATACATGTACTACTAATAAACAACTTACACCAGTATAAAAACATAAAGTTAAGCTATCGTATACATTGTATTATTTATTATATATTGCTCTATTATTAAATCAGCAATGGAAAATCAGATAATAGATATTGAAATGTGACCTGCATAAGAGAGAATTAAAGTAGCTCTTAATGGTATAATGTAGTATAAAAATTGTGTGAATCCGATAAGATAATTATACCTAAACTAAAAACCCTGAATAGAAAAATCAACATCACAAATAAATTCAATGATACTGAGTAAAAATAAGACATTTTTCAGGTTACAAATTTGTATGCCAAGAACTAAAGCACTTAGAAAGTAAACAAATAGAAGAAAGATCAGATCTAAAGTGTAGAAATTTAGTATCACTGTATCTAAATCAAGTGTATATAAAGCAAAAATAATAAGTTGTATTTTAAGACATCTTTTCTGAATTGAATAAATACCTTAATATGTCTAACATGGTAGAATAAGTCTTTTCTGAGGAAATTAGATTTTTGTGTTTTATTGTTTTGTGTTGTTTTTAATCCCATAACTTTGAATGGTCCATGCTTTGCACTCTCCTCCAGTGGAATATTTTGTGAATGGTACTCTAGTGAACAAAATAATCTCATAGCCACAATTATCAATGGAGTATGATCAATCAGGTAATTTGTGGTGTGTGCGGGTGTGTGTGTGTGTATGTATGTGTGTGTATAAGAGGGAGAAAGAAAGAGGAAGTGGTAGGGGAATAAAGGAGAAAAGAGTAGGGAAGGGAAGAAAAGAGAAAGAAGAAAAAGGAAGGGAAAAAATTAAGAGAAGATCTAAAATGCCATATTTTAAATTTATTTGCTAAAGGAGCAAAAATATCATCGAGCTGAAATGAGCTCAGTGAGAGTGCCACCTGAAAAATGACTATGTTGAAAATCTGTACAAAGGGGAGATTTCCAGCCAACATAAAAATTAATAAAAACAAATAAGGAGTCAAAATTTAGTTGGATAAAATGAATGATATTGAGAATTAAACTTATTGAATCACAGAACTAAATATAAATAAAGGAACTAATAGGATCAAAATATTTATGTATGATTAGGTAATCTATGTAAACTAATATAATAATTTCCATAATAAACATAGGACAAGTGGGAAAAACTGAGTCTAACCATCTAAAATTTAACAAAGAAAAACTTAATGAAGGAGGAAATATGACCTGGGGGTTACTATTTAGTCAAGTGAATTATTTAAGCAGAGAATAAGGCAATAAAAATAACTTCTTAGTATGAAGATACAGAAGTAGAGATTCAGATTCAAATATATGGCCTTATTTAAATGTAATTAATAATGAAAATACCAAATCAATTTATATATTACAAATTAGAAAATATTAAATAAAAGAAAATGGTCCCAATAGGCCAATTTTTAAATGTTAATTTTTAAAAATAATTTTTCATTTAACAACTTATAATTGTATATAATTACATTTTTATAGACATATATACACACACAAAGATACACAGCCTGGAATGATGGAATTAAAATAATGAACATATTTATCTCTTCAAATACTTTTTCTTTCTGTTTAAATGCAACTTTGTACCCTTCGAACAGTATCTCTCCATTTTCCTCACTTCCAAGTCTCTGGTAACCAACAGCCTGCTTTTGTTTCTATGAGTTTGATCATTTTACATTTCACATATCAGTGAGAGCATGCAGTATTTGTCTTTCTATACCTGGCTTATTTCACTTAATGTCCTCCAGATTCATCCATGTTTCACAAATGACAAGATTTTCTTCCTTTTGTGGCTGAATACTATTCCATTGTGTATAAATACCAAATTTTCTGTATTCATTCATTTATTGATGGACACTTAGATTGATTCCATATCTTGGCTGTTGTGAATTATGCTGCAATATACATGGGAATGAAGATATCTTTTAAGATCCTAATTACATTTCACTTGCATATATACCTGGTAGTTGGATCGCTATATAATAAGGTATTTCTTTTTTTTAAATTTTTAGCAATCTCCATACTGTTTTCCATAATAGCCATACTAATTTACATTTCCCCCAACAGTGTGCAAGGTTTATCTTTTCTCCACATTCTCACCACGCTTGTTATCTTTTGTTTTCTTGATAACAGCCACTCTGACAGGAGTGAGGTCTTATCTCATTGTGGTTTTGATTAGTATTTCTCTGATTAGTGATATTGAACACTTTTTCAGATAGCTTTTAAAATTAATATTTTATTTCAGAAATCAAAAATCATAAAAAATGCACTCTTATTGGAAGACATAAAACAACTACTTTGCAAAATGGGATATAAAATGACAACTTCTGAGAAAACAGATAAGTGTAAACAAAAGTACATAATGTCTCTAATATTAGTTTTAATTAAAACTATAGGTAATAAAGTAAAAGTTGATAATGAAAATGCAAATAGAATTATTCATACTCTCATAATTAAAGGTATGTAGTGATTATACTATATAAATGGATCTAAAATATTAAAATGTATTCTAATTATGGAAAATTTGAGCTAAGATAAGTCATAAAGCAAAATACAATAGTAGTGTTTCTACTTTAAGTTTATTGAGATATAATTTATATACCTTGCAATTCACTTATTTATTATTAAAGTATATAATTCCATTTTTTAAATATATTCTGAATTTTTATAACCATTACCACAATCAATTGTAATATTTTAATAAGCTGAAAAAAAACCCATACTCATTAGCAGTCACTCCTCATTTCCCCATCCCCAATTTCCATGTAAGCCCTCAACAACCGCTAATCTACTTTCTGTTTCTGTAGATTTACCTATACTATATATTTTAAATGAATGGTATTATACAGTATGTTGTCCTTGTAACCTGATGCTTCCACTTAGCATGTTTTCAAGAATCATTTATGTTGTAGCACATATCAGTACTTCATTTTTTATTGTCAAATACAATTACATTTTGTAGATACATATTTTGTTTATCCATTAATCAGTTGAGTTGTTTTTACCTTTTTTCTTTTATTAATAATACTGCTATTAACATACAAATATACTTTTTTGTATGGCTGGATGTTTTTATTTATCTTGTAATAAAATTGCTGGTTTATATATGTTCAATTTTTTCTAACCATTTAAAAGGATAAGTGCTCTGTAGCACTATAGGGTGACTATAGCTAACAAGAATTTATTGTATATTTCAAATTAACTATAAGAATGGAATTAGAATGTTCCCAATATAAATAAATGATAAATGCTTGAGGTTTGAGATACTCCAGTTACTCTAATTTGATCATTATACATTGCATGCTTGTATCAAAATACCACATGTAACCCATAAATATGTACAATTAGTATTTATCCATAATAATCAAAAAATACACATAAAATATTATTGTATATTATTTTGTCTTTTAAATTTTGTTTTTGCCTTTAGCTGAGATCTCTTTGTCTCTTTTCTTGATATGCCATTTAACTTCTGTGTAATCTGCCTGTATTGGCATAAAATCTAGCTGTTAGCCTTCATTAATTTATAGCTGATTATTTCATTGTTGGGAACCATACCATGGGGTATAAATTGCTTCACAATCTAATGCAGTTAAAGCTGGGTGTCTTGGCAAGAGCTGAGGATGTTGTTAGTGTCTGAGGCTTGCTCATACCCTCCTCTGAAAACACACCGTGAGCCACACGGAGAAGCTGTGGGTTGAGGACATTTTGTGAGAGCTTGATCTGCCCCCACTGCCTCATAGATACCTCCCATATGGAGAATAGCTGTGTGTATGGGTGGAGAGACAGTGGGAACTGTCCAATATGGACCTTCCCCAGACCAGAACTGGGAATATGGGATATATCTTGTTTAGTGACTGCCAAATTTACTAGGAATAATACTTCTGCCATAGGAAGCTGGAAGAAATTAGAGCTGACATCTGACTCTCTAGCTCACTGGAACAACTGTCCTGCAACACAGAGCTCTGTAGGAGATAAGAACTCCACTCTTCAACAGCTGCCCCACTAGGGTTCTCATTAGAAATTGGGAACTGGGGGTAGAAGAATGGCATCATTGCCCCACTGCCACCGCACACTTCATAGAGGTTGTGTGCATTAAAGGGTTGTGGTAAATGGAATCTGCCAGTGTTTGTCAGCCTAATACACCCAGAAGAGCCCTCCACTTATGGTGTTGGAAGAGATGGACTGCCACTTGGCTGCTGAATCTAATGCAACTGTTCTTCCTCAAGGAAAAGCAGCGAGCAGATAGGAACAGCCTCAAGCTGCCCTATTGAGCTCTTTAGATTTTTACTAAATTTTACCAATTTTGTCAATTTGTTGTAAGCTCATGAAAGAAACTCCAGAAGTTTTTAATGACTGTATTTGCAAATTTTGAACAGCTTAATAGATGCCATATCAAGGAAGAGTTTTCCCCAAGTTCCTCACACTAATGTTCTGGAAGTCTCATGTCTCTGTAAGAGTTTTTCATCAATTAATTAAAATACAGGTTGTAATTAATCACATTAACCCACATACACCCAAACTTAAAAGAACTATAGACACAATACTAAAAGAACTATTTTCGGAAAAAAGTATCTGTGAAATGTAAGAGCCCTACTTTTGTCCCAGTATTTGTATATCTTGAAGGATGGAGTGGCTAATTTACAAAAATTTGGTGCAGAATATAGAATGTATTTAGGGCACTAAAATTTCTAAAAACCTGCTCATGCTTTTTGAAATGTAAGGTCTCTGGCACATCAACAGTTCCCATTAGATGGATGCATCCAATTCCCATATATTTGGAGACTTAAGTAACAAATAATGCCTAAAATTCTGGTACTATCCCAATTTTAATAAGCATAGCAAATGACTACTGTAATTATCAGTAGGTAAATTACATATTTCTTCCAATACAAATGAGTCTAAAGACAAGAAAATAGACAAAAATATACCTTACAAAAGAAAAAAGAATGAGCCAAAGCAATAATAATGAAAAATAACATCAGAATGTTTACCAGTTCCTTCAGGCAAACGAGTTAACAGATAAGTGTGAGCTGATCTCATTAAACATAGCAGAAAAGCAGTTTGCATTTTGGCAAGGAATCATTTTATTTATAATGGGTAGAATCTAACTGTTAATTTTGACCTAGGTTATTGTAAAAACTGGAATAAGCAGTAAGAAACAACTATAATAAAACCTTAATGTGGGAATGTCCATGAAAATGTACAGGAGTGAATGTGTGTGTAATAATTACAAAATACTTAAAACTTTAGTGAAATAAAATCTACTTGGTGGCAAAGAAAGATATTAAAAGGCCAAGTAAAGCATAACAAATGTTATAAAGATACAGATAAAAGAAGCTGTGTGAGCAAAAAATCATAAGAGGGTACATTGAAGAAATATTTTAACTTTGAGGAGAAACATGCTGCATTTAGGAAGCAAAAATTTGAATTACATCATAGTTGAATTACAATGAATCTGTAATGCATTTACAGACAGATGTGAATGAGATGTAAGTGCAAGAACTTGAGAGGGCTTGTAAGATTATTTTTTCAGCCCCCCAAAATTGAAAGCCAATATGTAACTTAAAAAACAATCTTTATTTCAATAGTTTTTGGGTTACCAGTGGTTCTTTGTTACATGGAAGAATCATATAGTAATAACTGCTGAGATTTAGTGCACCCTCCAGTAGAGTAGTGTACATTGTATCTAATGTGTCTTTTGTTTTATCCCTAGCCCTCCTCCCACCCTCCCCCTTCTGATTCTCTAAATTCCATATATCACACTGTATGCCTTTCTGTACTCATAGTTTAGCTCCCACTTATTGGTAGGAATGCACTATTTTTGGTTTTCTACTCCTGTGTTACTTCATTTAGAATAATGGTCTCCAGCTCCATCCAAGTTGCTACAAAAGACATTATTTTGTTCCTTTCTGAGTAGTAGTCCATGATGTATGTATACCAAATTTTTTTATACACTCATTTGTTGATGGGCAGTTTTGTACATTCTACATCTTAGCAATTGTGAATTATGCTGCTATAAACATGCATGTGCAAGTGTCTTTTTCATAAAATTACTTCTTTTACTTTGGGTAGATATCCAGTAGTGGAATTGCTGGATCAAATGGTAGATCTACTTTTAGCTCTTTAAGGAGTCTCCATACTGTTTTCCATAGAGCTTGTACTTATTTATATTTCCACCAGCAGTGTATAAGCATTCCCTTTCTCCCACATCCATGCCAACATCTACTGTTGTTTTTTTTTCTTTCACTTTTGATAATAGTCAAAATTATGGCCATTCTTGCAGGAGTAAGGTGGTATCTCATTGTGGTTTTAATTTGCATTTCCCTGATAAGTAGTTATGTTGAGCATTTTTTGTATGTTTCTTGTCCATTTGCATATCTTCTTTTTAAGAAATGTCTGTTCCTAAATTCCTCGACACATACACTCTCCCAAGACTAAACCAGGAAGAAGTTGAATATCTGAATACACCAATAACAGGATCTGAAATTGTGGCAATAATCAATAGCTTACCAACCAAAAAGGGTCCAGGAGCAGATGGATTCACAGCCGAATTCTACCAGAGGTACAAGGAGGAACTGGTACCATTCCTTCTGAAACTGTTACAATCAATAGAAAAAGAGGGAATCCTCCCTAACTCATTTTATGAGGCCAGCATCATCCTGGTACCAAAGCTGGGCAGAGACACAACCAAAAAAGAGAATTTTAGACCAATATCCTTGATGAACATTGATGCAAAAATCCTCAATAAAATACTGGCAAACCGAATCCAGCAGCACATCAAAAAGCTTATCCACCATGATCAAGTGGGCTTCATCCCTGGGATGCAAGGCTGGTTCAATATATGCAAATCAATAAATGTAATCCAGCTATAAACAGAACCAAAGACAAAAACCACATGATTATCTCAATAGATGCAGAAAAGGCCTTTGACAAAATTCAACAACCTTCACGCTAAAAACTCTCAATAAATTAGGTATTGATGGGACGTATCTCAAAATAATAAGAGCTATCTATGACAAACCCACAGCCAATATCATACTGAATGGGCAAAAACTGGAAGCATTCCCTTTGAAAACAGGCACAGGACAGGGATGCCCTCTCTCACCACTCCTATTCAACATAGTGTTGGAAGTTCTGGCCAGGGCAATCAGGCAGGAGAAAGAAATAAAGGGTATTCAATTAGGAAAAGAGGAAGTCAAATTGTCCCTGTTTGCAGACGACATGATTGTATATCTAGAAAACCCCATTGTCTCAGCCCAAAATCTCCTTAAGCTGATAAGCAACTTCAGCAAAGTCTCAGGATACAAAATCAATGTACAAAACTCACAAGCATTCTTATACACCAATAACAGACAAACAGAGAGCCAAATCATGAGTGAACTCCCATTCACAATTGCTTCAAAGAGAATAAAATACTTAGGAATCCAACTTACAAGGGATGTGAAGGACCTCTTCAAGGAGAACTACAAACCACTGCTCAATGAAATAAAAGAGGATACAAACAAATGGAAGAACATTCCATGCTCATGGGTAGGAAGAATCAATATCTTGAAAATGGCCATACTGCCCAAGGTAATTTATAGATTCAATGCCATCCCCATCAAGCTACCAATGACTTTCTTCACAGAATTGGAAAAAACTACTTTAAAGTTCATATGGAATCAAAAAAGAGCCCGCATCGCCAAGTCAATCCTCAGCCAAAAGAACAAAGCTGGAGGCATCACGCTACCTGACTTCAAACTATACTACAAGGCTACAGTAACCAAAACAGCATGGTACTGGTACCAAAACAGAGATATAGATCAATGGAAAAGAACAGAGCCCTCAGAAATAATGCTGCATATCTACAACTATCTGATCTTTGACAAACCTGAGAAAAACAAGCAATGGGGAAAAGATTCCCTATTTAATAAATGGTGCTGGGAAAACTGGCTAGCCATATGTAGAAAGCTGAAACTGGATCCCTTCCTTACACCTTATACAAAAATTAATTCAAGATGGATTAAAGACTTAAACGTTAGACCTAAAACCATAAAAATCCTAGAAGAAAACCTAGGCATTACCATTCAGGACATAGGCATGGGCAAGGACTTCATGTCTAAAACACCAAAAGCAATGGCAACAAAAGCCGAAATTGACAAATGGGATCTAATTAAACTAAAGAGCTTCTGCACAGCAAAAGAAACTACCATCAGAGTGAACAGGCAACCTACAAAATGGGAGAAAATTTTCGCAACCTACTCATCTGACAAAGGGCTAATATCCAGAATCTACAATGAATTCAAAGAAATTTACAAGAAAAAAAAAACAACCCCATCAAAAAGTGGGCAAAGGATATGAACAGACACTTCCCAAAAGAAGACATTTATGCAGCCAAAAGACACATGAAAAAATGCTCATCATTACTGGCCATCAGAGAAATGCAAATCAAAACCACAATGAGATACCATCTCACACCAGTTAGAATGGCAATCATTAAAAAGTCAGGAAACAACAGGTGCTGGAGAGGATGTGGAGAAATAGGAATATTTTACACTGTTGGTGGGACTGTAAACTAGTTCAACCATTGTGGAAGTCAGTGTGGCAATTCCTCAGGGATCTAGAACTAGAAATACCTTTGGAACCAGCCATCCCATTACTGGGTTTGTACCCAAATGACTATAAATCATGCTGCTATAAAGACACATGCACACATATGTTTATTGTGGCACTATTCACAACAGCAAAGACTTGGAACCAAGCCAAATGTCCAACAATGATAGACTGGATTAAGAAAATGTGGCACATATACACCATGGAATACTATGCAGCCATAAAAAAAGATGAGTTCATGTCCTTTGTAGGGACATGGATGAAATTGGAAATCATCATTCTCAGTAAACTATCGCAAGGACAAAAAACCAAACACCGCATGTTCTTACTCATAGATGGGAATTGAACAATGAGAACACATGGACACAGGAAGGGGAACATCAAACTCTGGGGACTGTTGTGGGGTGGGGGGAGGGGGAGGGATAGCATTAGGAGATATACCTAATGCTAAATGATGAGTTAATGGGTGCAGCACAACAGCATGGCATATGTATACATATGTAACTAACCTGCACATTGTGCACATGTACCCTAAAACTTAAAGTATAATAATAATATTAAAAAAGAAATGTCTGTTCCTGTTCTTTGCCCACTTTTTGATGGGATTATTTGTGTTTTTCTTGCTGATTGATTTTAATTCCTTGTAGATTCTATATACTAGTCCTTTGTTGGATGTGTAGTTTGCAAATAACTTCTCCAACTCTGTGGGTGTCTGTTTACTCTAATTATTGTTAAATATTTCTGTTGTTGTGCACAAGCTATCTAGTTTAATTGGGTCCCATTTATTTATGGTTGTTCTTGCTGCATTTGCTTTTGAGGTCTTAGTCATGACTTCTTTGCTCAGGTCAATGTCTAGAAGAGCTTTTCCAACCTGTCTTCTAGAATTTTTATGGTTTCAGGTCTTATATTTAAGTCTTTGATCAATCTTGAGTTGATTTTTGTATAAAGTGAGAACTAGGGATCCAGTTTCATTTTTATATATGCAGCTTGCCAGTTTTACCAGCACCATTTATTAGATAGTATATTCATTCCCCTATTTATGTTTTTGTATGCTTTGTCAAAGGTAAGCTGGGTGTACATGTTTGGCTTCATTTATGGGCTCTCTATTCTGTTCCACCAGTCTATGTGCCTACCTTTATTCCAGTATCATTGTTGTTTTGGTAACTTACAGCCTTGTAGTAGAATTTGAAGTCTAGTAATGTGATGCCTCCAGATTTGTTCTTTCTGGTTATTATTGCTTTGGCTATTTGGGATCTTTTTTGGTTCCATATTAATTTTAGGATTTTTTTTTTCTAATTCTGTGAAACTTATGTCAGTATTTTGATAGGAATTGCATTGAAACTGTAAATTGCTTTGGGCCATATGGTCATTTTCACAATATTGATTCTCCAATCCATGAGCATGGGATGCATTTCCATACATTTGTGTCATCTTTAATTTTTTTCAGCAGTGTTTGTATTTCTCCTTTTTGAGATAATTCAACTTCTTTAGTATATGCTTAGATATTTCATTTATTTGATGGCAGCTGTTGTAAAAAGTATTGTTATTATTTAATTCTTAGCTTGGTTGTTGTTAGTGTATAAAAGTGCTACTGATTTGTATACATTGATTTTGTAACCTGAGACGTTACTGAATGTATTTATCAAATCTAGGAGTCTTTTGGAGGAGTCTTTAGGATTTCCTGGATATACTTTCATATTACCTGCAAACAGTGACAGTTTGACTTCCTCTTTTCCAATTTACATGTTCTTTATTGCTTTCTCTTGCCTAATGGCTCTAGCTAGGACTTCCAGAACTATGTTGAATAGGAGTGGTAAAAGTAGGCATCCTTTTCTTGTTCCTGTTCTCACAGAGAATGCTTTCAACTTATTCCCATTTATTATGATGTTTGCTGTATGTTTGACATATGGCTTTTATTATTTTGAGGCAAGTCTTTATCATAAAGGGGTATTGCATTTTATAAAATGATTTTTCTGCATCTATTGAGGTGTTCGTATGGTTTTTGTTTTTAATCCTGTGTATGTGATATATCACATTTATTTTCTTGTGTGTGTTAAACAATCCCTTGAAGTGCTGTTGGATTTGGTTAGTTAGTATTTTGCTGAGAATTTTTGAATCTATATTCATGATAAAAATTGATCTGTAATTTTCTTTTTTTGTTGTGTCCTTTCCTGGTTTTGGTATCAGAGTGATATTGGCTTCATATAGTAAATTGGGGAAGATTCCCACTTTCTCAATCTTTTGTGATAGTTTCAGTAGGATTGGTACCAATCCTTATTTGAAGGTCTTGTAGAATTCAGTTATGAATCCATCTGGTTCTGGATTTTCTTTTGCGGCAATCTTTTAAAATAATGATTCAATCTTACTGCTTGTTATTGGTCTATTCAGGGCTTCTATTTCTTTCTGATTTAACATAGGAGGGTTGTATGTTACCAGAAATTTATTTTCTCTAGATTTTCTAATTTGTATACATCAAGTTGTTCATAGCAGTCTCAAATGATCGTTTGTATTTCTGTGGTGTCAGTTGTAATGTCTCGCTTCATTTCTAATTCAGCTTATTTGGATCTTCACTCTTCTCTTCTTGGTTAACCTAGTTAACGGTTTATCTTTTTTGTTTATTTTTCTAAAGAAGTGGCTTTTTGTTTCAGTGATCTTTGTATCTTTTTTGTTTGAATTTCATTTAGTTCTGCTCTGGTCTTTGTTACTTATTTTCTTCTAGCTTTGGGGTTAGTTTGTTCTTATTTCTCTGAGGTGTGACATTAGGTTGTCAATTTGTGCTCTTTTAGACTTTTTATTTTCTTTTTTGAGGCAGTCTTACTCTGTCACCCCCCCGGGCTGAAGTGCAGTGATGTGATCTCGCTCACTGCAACCTCTGCCTCCTGGGTTCAAGGGATCTTCTCACTTCAGATTGAGGAGTTGCCAGTACCACAGAGCATGCCACCTTGCCTGGCTAGGGTTTCTTTTGTTTTTTTTTTTTTCCTGTAGAGACAAGATTTTGTCATGTTGCCCAGGCTGGTCTCAAATTCCTTGCCTCAAGCAATCCACTCGCTTTGACCCTCCATTGTGCTGGGATTGCAGGTGTGAGCCACCACGTCTGACCCTCTTTAAGACTTTTTTTTTTTTTTTAGGACATACTGGTTTATTCAGAATTAACAAAAACAATGCAATATCATAAAATAATTAATGTTTTAACAGCTGATGGTAACAAATGTCACCTTCTTGAGAATATCTAAATCAATAGGCAAGTTTTAGCATTGTCTACATTTAAACAGAAAAAAATGCTAGATATATAATTAAAATGTACAGCAAATATAAATATTTATGAAATTTTATGCCATGGCATTTAGTACTATAAACTTTCCTCTTAGCACTGCTTTTGGTGTATTCTAGAGGTTTTGATAACTAGGGTCATTATTATTCAATTCAAATAACTTTTTAATTTACATCTGATTTCATTGTTAACCCAGGTATCATAAGCAGCAGATTATTTAGTTTTCATGTATTTGTATAGTTTTGAGGGTTCTTTTTGGAGATGATTTCTAGTTTTATTCCTCTGGTCTGAGAAGACACTGGATGTTATTTTGATTTTTTAAAAATGTATCTCTCCAAGATAGGCCTAGCATATGGCCTATCTTGGAGAATGTTCCATGTGCTGATAAGAATAATATATTCTGCAGTTCTTGGGTAGAATATTCTGTGAATATTCATTAAGTTCATGTGTTCCAGCATGTCGTTTCAGTCCATTGTTTCTTTGTTGACTTTCTGTCTTGATGATCTGCCCTGTGCTGTCAGTGCTGTATTGAGGTCTCACATTATTATTGTGCTGCTTTCTATCTGATTTCTCAGATCTAGTAGTGACTGTTTTTTGAATCTTGGAACTCCACTGTTAGGTGAATATAAATGTGGAATTGTTGGCTTGATCCTGTTATCATGATATGGTGATCATTTTTTTTCTATTGTTGCTATGAAGTCTGTTTTGTCTAATATAAGAATAGTTACTACTGCTTGTTTTTGTTTTTCATTTGCATGGAATATATATTTCTACCTTTTTAACTTGACTTTATATGAATCCTTCCATGTTAGATGAGTCTCTTGAAGACAGTACATATTTGGTTTATAATTTTTCATCCATTCTGCAATTCTGTATATTTTAAGTGAAAAGTTTAGGCCATTTACATTCAATGTTAATATTGAGATGTGAGGTACTGTTCTCTTCATCATATTAAGTGTTACCTAGATAGTTTTTATTTCCTTTTTTAATTTATCTATTTATGGGCTCTGTGAGTTTTAAGCTTTCAAGAGTTTCTATTTTGATGCAGATCAGCCTTCTGTTTCAGAGTTTAGAACTCCTTTTAGCATTTCTTGTAGTGCTGGTTTGGTAGTGACAAATTCTCTCAGCATTTTTCTGAATATGACATTATTTCTCTTTCATTTATGAAACTTAGTTTTGCTGGATACAAAATTTTTGACTAATAATTATTCTATTTAGGATTCTATTTAAGGAAGTTGAAGATAGGACCCCAATCCTTTCTGGCCTGTTAGGTTTCTGCTGAGAAGCCTGCTGTTAGTCTGATAGGTTTTTCTTTGTAAGTTACCCAATGCTTTTGTCTTACTACTCTTAGAATTTGCTTCTTCATGTTGACTTTAGGTAGCCTAATGACTATATGCCTTGGAGAATATCTTTTTTGCAGTGAATTTCCCAGGAGTTCTTTGAGCTTCTTGGATTTGAAACTATATATCTAGCTCGGCAAGGGATGTTTGCCCCAATTATTTCCTGAAATAAGTTTTCCAGAATTATTGTTTTCTCTTTTCCCTCAGGAACACCAATTATTTTTAGGTTTGTTTGTTTCACATACTCCCATATTTCTTGGAGACTTTGTTTATTTCTTTTGATTTTTTTTTCTTTATTTTTGACTGATGGGGTTAATTCAGAAGTCTTGTCTTCAAGCTCTGAAATTCATTTTTCTACTTGTTCTAGCCTATTGTTAAAACTTTTCACTGCATTTTGTAATTCCCTAGGTTTGTCTTTCATTTCCAGAAGTTCCAATTGTTTTTCTTTATGATATCCATCTCTCTAGAAAAATTTTCACTTATATCATGAACTTTGAACATTTCTTTATGATGGCTTTCACCTTTCTCTGATATCTCCTTGAGTAGCTTAATAATCGACCTTCTGAGTTTTTTATCTGATATTTCAAAGATTTCATCTTGGTTTGAGTCTATTGCTGCTGAGTTAGTGTGATCTTTCGGATGGTGTTATAAAACCTTGTTTTGCCATATTACCATTTGCCATATTTCTGCTTCCTTTTCATTTGGGTAGACTATTTCTTCTAATTATTGTTGAATTTATGTTTGATTTGACTGTTTCTTTTTTGTTTATATGTTTGTTAATTTATTTTTACCCCTTATGAATGTGACTTTAATGCTTTTAGTTAATTATAGCCTAATTCTATTTTTGGTGCCTTCAGGCATGAAGACTGTAAGAATTCAATGGTAATACAGTGTCTTTTTACAACGGCTTCCTCATGTGCTGGTTGTAGTAGTAATATGCTTGGTGTGTGAACAATTTCATTGTTTCCTGTGGGATTGGAATGATAGAGGTTTCTTGAAGCTTATCTCATTCTACTTACATACTTTTTACTTATTGATTTTTCCCCAGTATTTTATTTGCTGTTTTGATGATTTGGACTTCCAGCCAGTAGGGCAGTTGTCCCTCAGAAGGAACCAGCTGTGGCCAAAGCAGATGGATAAATGCAATACCCAATGATGGGCAGAGGTCACAGCCTTGACAGAGGTGACTGGAGGAGCTCTCAGTGAGTTACATTGAGGTCTTATCAGGGGAAATGGTTGGAGCCACCTCAGCTCCCCTGCCATGTCAGCTGGAACATTATTCATCTCTCAGAAACACTCCTGTCCCAGTGCTCCAGCTACTCAGATCAAACAGGCAGCTCTTGTCAGCTGTAGGAATGTTGATGTTCCAAGTAGAGAGGAATTATGACTCGGACTCTTCTCCAACCCTGGAGAGTGCTCTTCCTGTAGGGATACAGTCAATCTGACATGTTCCAGAAAGGCATATAGAGTTGCACTTATGCCAAGTTCCTGTGGGAGAGGCCCCCAGTTGTGCCTGTGGTGCACACCAGGGAGCTGACTGTTGGGTTAGAACTGAAGACCTTCCCTGCTGAACCCAGCACTATAACTTTGCCTCTGCTGAAAGAAACTTCTCACCTATGGAAATATCCAGTGCTCAAGGTCTGCTGTACATCCTTTTTTGCCCCACGGGGTGTTCCCTTGATGTAGTACACTTCCCCTTTCCCTAGGAGTGAGCGTTCCTGGGGGTCAGTCAGACTACTGTGAGTGTTGTTGCTCCTCTGGATCTAGCTTCCCAGTGAAGTTGCCACACTCCAGGCTGATGCTGGGGAATGTCTCCAAGGGATCTGATGATGTGACCTGGCCTCAAGACTCCTGGCAGTGGGAAGCAGCACCAGCTTTAATACGGGTGATAGGGGAGTGACATAGAATCTGTAAGATTCCTTGGTTATTGATAAGCGTAGTGTGTTGGCTTTCTTGAAAACTGGTTATAGTAGCAATGACTGGTCAAGTGGACCGGCTCAGGACCTCCTAATTAGCCAGAGTGGTGCAGGCAGTGATGATAGCTGAGATCACACAGCCATCTTCTCCTTCCTGGGTGAAACGTTACTCTACCAGGAGATGCTGTAGTGGACTGTTTTGGTTAGCCTCCAGACAGAAGGTGGTATTTGAAAAAGAACACTAGCTGCAGCAGTAGTAGTGGAATTTTTGCTTGCCTTATGTTGCCCAGGAGGGGCACTCTGGTTTTTCAGGTGATGAGGAGGGCCATATGCTTCCAAGAATTTCAGTCCTTTGTGGTAAGCTACCAGGGTGAATGGCAGGACAAAGCCGGGTGGGGGCTGGGTCTTGTGGGTTTGCACTCTGAGTCTCTTCCTGCAGGGCAAACTGCAGCCCCTGTGGGTGTTGGGGGACAGGGGCAGTTCTCAGGCCACTGGCTTGATGTTCCAGAGGGGAGAGTTGCTGCCTCTGATGGACAGAAGAGCTCACACAGGGAGTGGGGAATAGCAGGCTGAGGTAAGCCCCACACAGATCCAACACACACGATGAGGCAGATCCACTCTGGCAGTGTTCCACTTAGCAGCAGGCTAAGTTCCAGTCAGCCTACACTGAGAACTGGCAACTGCGCTGAGTCATAAGCTTTCCCACTGAGATAGCATATGCAGCTTGCAGGCCTTGTCCCTCCTTATCTGCTGCAAAGCTGGGTGCCTGGCTTCTAGGCTTGTGGCTCCTGCACTTGTGACTCCTGCACTTGCAGCTGCAGCCCACTTTTCACTCCCCCATTTCAAGGGAGTTCATCCCCACCTGAGGTTATATCATGAAATCTAGCTGGGTGCTTCTTTCAACCTGCGACCACTGCCTGAACTATTTTTGGCTGTCCTCTACAGGGTGTCCTGTAAGTACAAGAAAGGAGTGGCTTCCCTCAGTCCATGCTGCAAACTGGGAGTGCATGCAATTATCTTCCTGCAGTTGCTCCTACTTTTATATGCCATGGCTATCCCCAAGTTGTTTCCTGCACTGGGTAGGGTTAGGGCCTTCCTCAGTAGCCTTGACTTTTAGGGACCCTGGTGGGGGTGTGTATCCCAGAGACAAACTCTCTCCTTCTCACACTTGGGACTCACAGCCCTTCGCCTGTCTCACAGTGTAGCTGCAGCCTCCCACTTCCTTAAAAGATTCTGTGGATTCCATTGGATTTCCTGTTCAGTTCCTGCATTGCTTCTTGAAAACAGTTCACACTGTGAATCTCTACACACTATTTTGTCCTTCCAAGTGGGAGAGGTACACTAGCAATGCCTCTACTCCACTATCTTAGAAAAACGGTCACAATTATGTAATTTAATCGGGAAGATTACTGTTAGATTTGTACTAAAAATACCACTTCCTTTCTGCCTACCATTGGGAAGAGTAGATTGTAAGGGAATTGAGTAGAGGCATAAAAGTGAAGGCTATTTTGACAGTCCACGTATGACTCACTTTGAGCCATGGTCTATGGTGATAGCAATAGGCCTATAAAGGAGTAAATACACATGAGAGAACGTCGGGGGACAGACCTGGAAAAAGAACTTAATGATAAATAAATAATATTATTCTGGTTTCTGCTGGTGCAATCAGTTGAAGAGTGGCTATAATTTCTGAAACAACATATTGAAAAAAATGAGATTTGGAAAGGAATAAAATAAAGTTAACGTGGGACATGTTTAGGTTGAGGTACCTCTAAAGCAACAAATTAAGGAATTGAGGGACTGGTAGAATATTGAGATAGAGCATTTAAGAAAGAGGTTAAAGCCCAAGTTAGATATTTAAGAGATGGTAGTTCAAGTCCTGGGAGTGCATAGGATCTTTTGATAGGTGTATATATATGTATATATTAATATACACATTATGTATATACATAATGTATATTTTAATATACATATAATTACTATATTAATATATTTGTATATAATTAATATATTAATATGTATTTTATATAATTAATATATTAATATATATTTTTATATATTTATATATATTTATATATTTATATATATTTATATAATTTATATATATTAATGAGAGAGGGAGAAAGGTAGGGGATGGGGATTAAAAGGACTAGAAGTATTTCAAGATTTAAAGAGCAGCTGTAGGAGAAGTGGGTGACAATGGAAATGGAAAGGAACAAAGCTTAGTAGAAATATATGACAATACCATTGTTTTGCAATGTTAAACATGAGAGTCCTTTCAGAAGGATATGCTCACTATTAGTACTGTCTAGTCAGGTCATAGAAATGGAAAAACTTCAAATGGATTTAATGACTGGAAGTTATTGATATCTCTCAATAAGATATTTTAGTATAGTCTCCAAATGATATTCTACTTAAATTTTTAGCAATTCCCTATTAAAATATCAACAAAGACAAGAGGTTAGCAGTAAAATATTCATCACGTTCTATGCTTCCTATAATTTGTTTTGCTTCTAATATACTTAGAACAAACTGAAAGCTGATGCAGTTATGTCACAATTGATGACTGTGTGTTAGCAGGGGAAAATTAGTATTAGACCAACACAGGAACAGAAAAGGAAGAAGAGTCAGAAACACAGCTGGACTTCTTTTACTTCGGAGACTGATATGGTTTGGCCCTCTGTCCCCACACAAATCTCATCTCGAATTGTAATCCTCACGTGTCAAGGGAGCAACATGGTGGGAGATGATTGGATCATGGGGGCAGCTTCCCAATACTGTTCCCATGATAGTGAGGGAGATCTCAGGAAATCTGATGGTTTAAAAGTGGTAGTTTTCCCTGCAGGCATGCACTCTCTCTCCTGCCACCAAGTGAAGAAGGTACTTGTTTCTCCTTTGCTTTCTGCCGTTATTGTAAGTTTCCTGAGGCCTCCCCAGCCATTTGGAACTGTGAGTCAATCGAACATTTTTCCTTTATAAGTTACCCAGTTTCAGGCAGTTTTTTAAATAGTAGTGAGAAAATGGACTAATACAGAGACACTATTGATACTCCATGTATTATATTATTTTACTCTGAACACTTGTTAATACGTAAAGGGATAACTAGGCAAAGCAGACACCTTGAAAAGTCCACTGATAAAATTATAAGGGTTGGGATTATTTGTATAATCTACAAAAATGTATCATACATGGCATACGCAAAATAGACAAATCAAGTAAGCAAGCAATGCTTTGAAACCATGGAACCTTGAAGGTGTTCTAATTAAACTTTGGAAGCTATTGCCAGGTGGCATTATTATTATTATTATTATTATTATTATTATTAATTACTCTGGGAAAAACAGGAAATGCAATTTTCCAAGAATATTACTTTGGGTGTAAATATTAGCAAAGAAGTGTGTCTTTTTTTTTTTTAAATTCCCCACCATGCAGGTGATAGGATTATCTACATAAAAATATCGTATGATAATCAGCTGAATAAGCACAGAAACAATAAGGGGTTCAGCTGGATGTTTTGTTGTGAAACAAATAAACAAAACTTGTAGTTTTTTTGTACTAGAGTGATAGATAGGAAAGTGATGTGAAATAAAAACTCACAGCAGTGAGAAGAGTGCACAAAATTGTTATCCTAAAAAGAGATTTAAAAAGGACAATTCAGGAACTATGCTGTTTAAAACTATAAAATTAAAAAAAAATGACATGCATTTAGCCCTAGGAGATTATATGTTTTTACATCAATCGAATCTATGAAATTAAATTCAATACATGTCTTCCTATTACAGAACCCAATGAAATTTACATAAAACTTAATAAACTGATTCTATAATACTTCTGGAATAATATGCTTGCAAAATTACTCAAGACAATTTCAAATGGAAGGGTAATGAGGAAGTCTGCCCTTTAGACATCAAAATATATTTTAAAACCGCAATGTTCAGATTTTCTAACATAAGGTTAAAATAGGTTACAAACAATGTCTGAAAATAATTTTTTTCCTATGGATGTTTTCTTGTAAAATATCTTTATAAATGGTGATTGTAAGTACTGACCTAAAACCAATGTGAATATTTCATGAAACTGTGCAGTGAACTATGGCAAATGCATTTATTTGTAGAGAGATTAAATATTTATGCAAACTGAACTGAGATGTGCAGAGAAAGTATTTTTCTCCATTTTTCAATTAGGTGATATTAATCTGTCATTATGTCTCATTCCATAGACAGTTAAAGTACACTAAATAATATTTAATGTAGGTTGATAAAATCTAGTATTCAGTAGCCCAATAGGCTGATAATAATTAACAAATTTATTTTGTATTTTAAATAACTAAACGAGTGGAATTGTAATGTTCCTAACACAAAGAAATGATAAATACTTGAGGTAACAGGTACTCCAATTACCTTGATTTGATCACTACAGATCGTATACCTGTACCAAAAGATCATATGTACCCCATAAACATGTACAACTATCATTTATTCATAATAATTAAAAATAAAGCAATTACAATAAGAATAATACAATTTTTAACTATGAATTTTATTAATGTACAATAAATAAAATTTACTGCTTTATAACCTTTTTAAATTATGGAATAATTATAAATATATAGAATAACTGTGAACATATTGCAAAGAGTTCTCATATATTCCTTATTCAGTTTAAGTTTCTCTTGTTATAATTTTACATTATCTTAACATATTTGTCAAAATTAAGAAAGTAACACTGGTGTAATACTATTAACTAAATTCCATAATGTACTCATACTTCACTAGTTTTTTTACTCATGATTTTTTCTATGTCAGGATACAATATTGATTAAGTTGTCATGTCTCTTCTGTCATTCTCTTCTATTTTGTGACAATTTCCCAGTCATTGTTTTTCATGTACTTGAAAATTTTGAGGACTATTGGTTAATATTTTGTAGAACATTCCTCCATTTAGGTTGGTCTGAAATTTTTCTAATGATTAGACTTGGTGATGGGTTTTGGAGAAGATTATCACACAAGCAAAGTCCTTTTTGCGTTATATCCTATCAGGGGCTATGGTATATCCACACAACATGACTGGTAGAATTAACTTTTATCATTTGGTTTAGTATCTGAAAGCCTTCATCACTACAAAGTTACTGTTTTCACCTTTGTGATATTTTATTATTTGGACATTATTCACTAAGTTCTGCTCACATTCATGAAGGGTTTAAATTCCATCACATTGAGAGGGAAGTCATGTATACATACGTATAGTATTTGAGATTTTTTTCTGTATGGAGGATTTGTCTCTTCTCCCCCACTTACTTAATTACTTAATAATTTATATTAGTAGGGACTCATATATTTTAAACTTGGCTATGTAATCCAATACTATGTTGGTTTTTTGTTGTAGAAATTGTTCCAGTGGGGAATCTTTCCTGGAGAATCCTTAGGGTGAATTCCTGTGTTACTTTGAAATGTGCCCTTCTTTGCTTTTTGAGCACATTTTTACTTTCCAATACTACAGGATGCTCTCATCTTGTCTTACATTTTCCATGTCCCAGTCCCAGAATCAATCACTTTATCAATAATTCTGATTATTTTTATTGGTGTATGGTATTTTTGCATAAGTATCTGAATGCTGGGTATGCTCATTGCTGCTGGGGTATCACTGTGTCTAAGCCCTCTTAGAGTACAAAGCCATTTAATTTATTTGTATATACTAACTCATGAATATTCACATATCTATATGTTTATCTGTCTATATCTATCATTTATCTAGTTATCTATTTTCATATAGTAAACCTGAGTTCATACTAATATCTCTGACTCTGATTGAGGAACACCAGGTCCAGACTAGCCTTTCCTCCTTGCCTATCTGTAGCTTCTTTCCCTGAGAGTGGGAAACTTGACTCCCAACATTTGCCATCCACTTAATTATTTGTTCAATCCAGTCCATATGTAAAGCAGAATTGGTAATCTGTGTCTTCACAAAATACAAATTTACCAACTAACTTTTGAATGCAGTTTATATAAAAAGTTCCATTTGTCTTTAGTTGTATAGTTTCCAGTCAAAACACCGTTTTTCAAAGTTAGGTATCCCATTATTGCTGTAACCCTTCTATTAATAATACAGTTATGTCATATGTGTATAAAACATTCTCTTGTCATGGTTGCATGCCATCCTAGGATCTCTCACCATCCTTTATGTGTCTTTTATCTTTATTTTTAGTTTTCATGTATTCAAGCTCATTATTAGTATTGCAGTTCTATGAATTTTGACATGTGCTTAGAGTCACTTGTCTTCCATCCCAATAACATTCAGTGCAGTTTTGTCACCATAAATGTTCTTCCAATGTATTCCTTTTAAAGCTGACTACTTCATCATCCATCATCTTCTGGCAATCATTGATCCATTTCTTAATCTCTTAGCTTTGGCTTTTTGATAAATAATAATACATAATAATATTGATGATAATAATAATAAGCCTTTATTTCCAGATAAACATTAGACTCATTTTTATTACATTTCACTTCTCAAGTCTCTGATCCCCCAGAAAAAAAGCTATAGATTGTGGTATCACTTCTAATAACCAGGGGAAAGGAGCCTTGCCATATACAGGATGAAGTTTGAGGCACTGAGAGTCTTCCATGGATTGGTAGAATGGTTTGTTCTGATTTGTCGTTTCTCTTTTTCTACATTTACACAAATTTTAAAATCTAAGAGTCAGATGAGGAATTAGAATCATAGCAAGCCTTTGACTGCAGTGTTTATTTCTGCCAACTTTATTGAGATGTAATTGGCAATAAAATTGTATATATTGAAAGTGTACAATGTGATAATTTGATATATGTATACACTGTTAAATGCTTAGTATAATCAAGTTAATTAACACATCAATCACCTTACATGGCTTCCACTTCTTTTTTCATTGTGGTGAGAACACTTAAGATCTACACTTTTAGCAAATTTTATGAATAAAACACAGAGTTATTATAATTAGAGTCATCTTGCTGTACATTAGATCCTCAGAAATTATTAACAACATAATAGAAACTTTGTATGATTTGACCAATATTTTCCTCTTTCTCCAACACTAGGCCCCTGGCACCTTCCATTCTACACGCTATTTCTATGAGTATGACATTTTTAGATGTCAAATATAGGTGAGGAAATACAGTATTTGTATAACTGTGTCTGGTTATTTCTCTTAGCATAATTGTCATCCAGGTTCATCTATGTTGTCACAAATGGCAGGAATTTCTTCTTTTTCAAAGCTGAACAATAGACCACTGTGTGTGTGTGTGTGTGTGTGTGTGTGTGTGTATCTACTATTTATTATCTGTATGTCTCACATTTTCTTTATATATTCATCCATTGATGAACATTTAGGTTGTTTCCACATCCAGGCTATTGTGAATAATGTTACAGTGAACATGAGAGTGCAGATATCTCTTTGAGATCCTGATTTAAATTCTTTTGAATAGATACCCAGAAGTGGGGTTGCTCAGTAATATGATTGTTCTATTTTTTAATATTTTATGAACCTCCATATTGTTTTCTATAACGGCTGTACCAATTTATATTCTCCACAACAGTGTGCAAGGATTTTCTTTTCTCCATATTCTTGCCAACATTTATTATCTTTTGTCTTCTTGGTAATAGCCATTCTAATACAGGTAAGGTAATATTTTATTGTACCTTTAATTTGCATTTGCATCTGTTGGGTATTTGTATATCTTATTTGTAAAAAATCATATTCTTTGTCTATTTTTAATTTAGTTACTTATTTTTGCTATTAAATTGAATGAGTCCCTTGTATATTTTGGATATTACTCCTTATCAGATATATGGTCTGCAAATAGTTTCTGCAATGTCATAGTTTCTGCAATGTCATAGTTTCTGGAATGTCATAGGTTGCTTTTCACTCTGTTGGTTCACTTGTTGTACAGAAGCTTTTTATTTTGATGTAATCACATTTGATGATTTTTGCTTTCTTAGCTTGTGCATTTGGTGTCATATCCAAAAAAATTATTGTCAAGACCAATGGCAAGGAACTTTTTTCTATATTGTGTTATGGAAGTTCTAAAGTTTCACATTTTACACTTAATTCTTTTATCACCTTTGAGTTAATGTTAATGTGTGGTGTAAGACAAAGGTCCATTTCCACTGTTTGTGTGCGTGGATATACTTTTCCCAACAGTATTCATTAAAAATACTTTTTTTTTTTAAATTGTGTGTTCTTGGTGCTTTGGTAAAAAATTAGTTGACCATGTACATGGGGTTTACTCCTTTTTTCTTTTTCTTCTTTCATGGAGACAGGGTCTCACTATGTAGCCCAGGCTGGTTTCAGACTCCTGGCCGCAAATGATCTTCCTGTCTCAGCCTCTCAAAGTGCTGGGATTACAGGCAGGTACCACTGTACCCAGCCGTGCCTGGGTTTATTTGTAGGCTGTCAATTCTGTTCCATCAGTCTGTGTGTCTGTTTTTGTGCTAGTACCATAATGTTTTATTATAGCATTGCAATACTGTTTAAAATATGAAAGTGTGATGTCCTCACTTTTGTGGTTTCATACAAGTCTTGGATTTTTTTTTTCTCTTTCCGTGAAAATGCCATTAAAATTGTGATAGGAATTGCAATGAATGATTAGGTTACTTGGGTAGCATGGGGACTTTAACAATATTAATTCCCCAAACCCATGAACATGTGATGTCTTTCCATTTATTTTTATCTTATTCAATTTCATCCATATTTTATAGTTTTTAGTATAAAGATCTTTTACCTCCTGGGTTAAATTCATTTCTTAGTATTTTATTTTTTTATTCCATTGTAAATTAATTTTTTTCTTAATTTTCTTCAGATAGCTTGTTGTAAGTATAGAAACACAGCTGATTTCTTATGTTACTTCATATCTTGGAAGTTTAATGAATTCACTTATTACTTCTTATAGTTTTTTGATACAGTGTTCTGTGCTTCTTATACATAAGATCATGTCATCTGCAGAGACACTATTACTTCTTCCTTTCTCATTTGGGTGCCTTTTATTTCTGTTTTTTGCCTAATTGCTCTGGCTAGGAATTCCAGTATTATACTGAATAGAATTAGTGAGAGTCAGTCCCTTGTCCTATTCCCGATCTTAGAGAAAAAACTTTCAGCATTTCACCAATGAGTATGATGTAGGTGTATTCCTTCTATACCTAATTTTTTGAGAGCTTGTTTTCATGAAAATATGTTCAATTCTGTCAAATACTTTTTCTGCATCTATTGAGATGATCAAACAATTTTATCCTTTATTCTGTGAAAGTTGTGTATCACATTTATTGACTTAAATATATTGAATGATTTTTTTGTACCTCAGAAGAAAATACTATTTGAGCATAGTGTATGATTTTTGTAATGTGCTGTTCAATTTGATTTGCTAGTGTTTTGTTGACAATTTTTGTATTATGTATATTCATAAGAGATAATGTCCTATCATTTTCTGTTCTTCTGGTGTCATTATCTGGGTTTAGTATGAAGGTAATGCTGAACTTACAAAATAAATTTGAAAGTGCTCCTACTCTTTATTGTTTCAAAGAGTTTGAGAATTTGTGTTCATTATTTAAATGTTTAGTAGAATTCACCATAAAACCATCTGGTCTTGGGGTTTTCCTTGTTAGGAGGTTTTTGATTACTGCTTTATCTGCTTACTCTTTATTGATCTGTTTAGGTTTTCTATTTCTTCATGATTCAGTCTTGGTATATTATATGTTTCTAGGAATTTAACCATTTCTTCTAAGTTATCCAACTAATTGGCATATAAATTTTCATAGTAGTCTTTTATTGTGTTATAATCTTTTGTATTTTAGTATCATCATTTGTAATCTCTTTTCATCCATTTATAATATTGAGTCTTTCTCATTCTTTTTTCCATTGGCTAACCTAGCTAAAAGCTTGTCAAATTTGTTTACCATTCAGAAAACCAACCTTGTTGTCGTTGAGCTTTTCCATTGTCTTGCTAGTGTCTATTTCATTTATTTTTTCTCTGGTCTTTATTATTTCCTTCCTTTAATAACTTTGGTTTTAGTTTGTTCATTCTTTTCCTAGTCCCTTGAGGTATAATATTAGGATTTATTTGAGATCTTCCTTTTTGCTTAATGTAGACAATTATTGCTGTAAACCTCCCTTTTAGAACTGCTTTTTGCTGCATACCATACATTTTGGCATGTGTGGAGATTTTTGTTTACTTTTGTCTCAAGATACCTTTTGATATTACTTTGATTTCCTTATTGGCCGACCCATTTATTGTTCAGGTTTGTGTTGTGTAATATCCACATATTTGTGAATTTTCCAATTTTTCTCCTATTATTGTTTTCTAGTTTCATATCAATATGGGTGACAAGATTATTAATCTCCCTAAATTTGTTGAGATTTGTTTGTATCTTATCGTATGATATATCCTGAAAAATGTTCCATCCAAACAGATACTCAACACCATCCCTGGGAATGCATCTTGTGAGTCATTTGGTGGGTCTCTGGGTGGGCAGAACTAGCCCCAGGCTACAGCTGAGAGGAGCTGAAACTGAGTCACAGTGTCACTTCTGGGGCCATGGTCAAACTGGTGTCTACAGGCCTACCTCCAGAAGTACAAATGTACTGCCTGCTATGTTCCAGGGTGGGCAGAATTTCTCATGGTTAATAACTGAGCAGGGCTGAAGCTGGATCACAAGGGTGCTTCTAGATCTTCAGTAAGACTAAGGACTACAGTCCTGCTTTTGGGGCCACCAACAGGCATGTCTTCCACTGACTTCTTTGGTGGAAAAGACTGATCCTATACTGCTGCTAGGAGGGGCTAGAGCCAGGTCACAGTTTGCTTCAAGGTCTACAACCAAGATTAAGGTCAACAGGTCTGTTACTGGAGGCATGGGAGGGCATGGCTCCTCTATGGTCCCTTAGCAGATAGTTCTGGTGGCAGGACCAAGGCCATATTAGGCTGTTTATTCGTCTGTATCCAGGAAGATCGTTGATGACCTTGACACTTAAGCATGGGTTGATCTTCTCAAAACACCAGCCTTAATATGGGCTCCATTATTGTTTTGCAAGATCCTACCTGAATCCTTGAAGTCTCACAAAGTCACTCTTGTACCTGGATGGCTGCCAAATTATTGTGGTTATGGGGGGGATATGAGTGGATGAACCTCTTATTCTGCCATCTTCTGATGTCACCTGGCTGCGCTGTTGCAGAACTCATTTCAAAAGTAGGTAAAACGATTTGCAGCATGGTTTAGGCTGGCTTACCAAAACAGAATATTTGAATAAGAAGACAAAGCTTTTTATTTAAATTATTTTCTATGTACATCACTTATCTGCTGTTAAATATCAAATTATACTAGCTCTTAATAGCTTTAAACAACAATGCACACTTACCATCGCACAATTTCTGTGTAAGCACTTGGTGTCAGCTTAACTGTGCATCACTGGCATTGACATGAAGTGTCTTCAACTCCACCAAAAATGTACATTGCTGGAACTTAATTAAATGGCTGGTAGACTCAAATGATAGCTTTAGCCTAACTGGGAAAAATCTAGCTTTTTTTCCTTCGTTTGGATTAATTTAGAGACGACTCTAGATAGACCTATTGTTCAAACAGCAGCTTCAATCTTAATTATTTCTCTATGGAGTTTTAGTAAGTTGTGTAAGATATAAATTCTTAAAATTCAACACTGTCTTTTTTGAGTGTCATTTTTGAATGCTTGCACATTGTTTTTGGGAATGTAAATTAGTATAGCTATTATAAAAAACAGTGTGGAGCTTCCTTAGAAAATTAAAAGAAAACTACTATATGATCCAGAAATTCCACTATTGGGTATATATACAAAAAAATGAAATAAATATGTCAAGGAGATATCTGCATCCCCATGCTTATTGCACCACTGTTCACAATAACGAAGATATGGAATTAAGCTAAGTGTCCATCAACAGACGAATGAATAAATAAAATGTAGTACATATTCACATAGAATAGTATTCAGTATTTCCAGAGGCAGTGCTCCAATCCTAGGTCCTTTAAATTGCTTTCTTACCTTTTGGCTTTGCGATAACTTCATAAATACTTTCACTATCTTGATTTAAGAATCTGTCAAACATTGCCCATAGTAAGAGCCACCATTTCTTTTTATTTGTGTTTTAATAAAATTTAATACCTTTTCGCGGGCAAACTTGTGTTTACATCTCAGACATCATTCAATCCTGGAATCAACTTGAGATTACATATGATGCTGATTCCTGCATTTGAGGACAACCAGGTGAATATTTTATGCTTTCTTTTTTGCTCCTAATCCCAAATATAATTTGGGGCAGCCTATCTAGTGTTGCCTAACTAAGAGCACTAACAAGTTAAAGCTAGAAGTGCAGACATAATTACTCTGTGTCATTCAAGCAAATCAGCAGCTCTGCTATTAAAATATAGGAAATGTTTTATCCAGCAATGCATAAAGATCTCATTCTGCTTCAGAATTTTCTACCATATCTGGTAAAGCTACAAGTGTACAACTAAATGTCAAGATCATGCACTACAAAGATGCTACTGTTGTCTAAAGCTACCAGTGCAGTGCCCAGAATGTACATATAAAAATGTGTACGTGTTATTCAAGGATACATATATAGTTAATTAATGTACATTATATACAGTTTCCTATACTTTATGTGACCCCGTTGTTGCTTGTTTTGGCTAAGAACACACTGACTCATTAGCTCCAAGATAAATATAATAAATTTCTGAATAAACCATCCAGCAGTGACAATAGCCTTCTGTTACTTAAACTCTAAAGTCACTGAAAATTAACTTAAATTCAGAGTGAAACACCATCCAAACATGTTTTCCATGTCTGTATCTGCCTCTGTATTTTCTGCCTTGTCTAAGGCACCTATTAAATAAACATGACCTGTCAAAATGTATGTTGTGGAGTTAGCCTGCCAATCCACTGTAGAAGGCTCAGTAGTGCAATAATAATTGCAAAATCTAATATAGATAGTATTACTCTTTTTTAGGCAATAAACTTTTAAAAATGGTAAAGAATCTAAGTGTCTATAGAAGATAAAACAATTAATTAGAAAATATTACATTCAACAATCCTGAATGAACAAAATCACTTCCACACCACCTCAAAAAGCAAATATATTGGGCTGAGATTACTATAAAATAGGTAAGTATAAATTATTTAAAAGTATACCATCTTATTGCTGCTGGACCATGAGAAATATACTACACTGTACCAAGCAATTGGGAGAAAAGAAAAAAAATGTGTGAGGTATGACTCTTAATCTATTGCAAAAAAATTGCATTGCAGTGATTTTAAACTTCTGGTTACTTATTTTCGCATGGTGATTGAGAAAGTGAAAGGGATCCCAGTTAGTGTAATTCACATGTTATTTGTGGAAAACTGAAAAAAGATTGAAATTACTTTTACATGTTAGCAAACTTTATTAGTCCGTTTTCACCCAGCTGATAAAGACATACCCCAGACTGGGCAATTTACAAAAGAAGGAGGTTTAATTGGACTCACAGTGCCACATGGCTGGGGAGGCCTCACAATCATGGTCGAAGGCAAGGAGGAGCAATTCACATCTTACGTGGATGAGAGCAGGAAAAAAACAAACAAAAAACCAAAAACAACAACAAAAACAAAACAAAAAAACAAACAAACAAAAAACAAGAGGTTGTGCAGAGAAACTCCCATTTTTAAACTCATCAGATCTCCTGAGACCCATTCACTGTCATGAGAACAGCACAGGAAAGACCTGCCCCCATGATTCAACCATCTCCCACCAGGTGCCTCCCACAATGCATGGAAATTATGGGAGCTACGAGATGAGATTTTGGTGGGCATACAAAGGCAAACCATATTGTTCCTCTGCTGCCCCCACCAAATCTTATATCTTCACGTTTCAAAACCAGTTATGCCTTCTCAACAGTCCCTCAAAGTCTCATTTCACCATTAACTCAAAAGTCCATAGTCCAAAGTCTCATCCAAGACAAAGCAATTCCCTTCTGCCTAGTAGCCTGTAAAATCAAAAGCAAGTTAGGTACTTCCTAGATACAATGGAGATACAGGCATTTGGTAAATACAGTCATTCCAAATGGGAGAAATTGGCCAAAACGAAGGGGCTACATGCCCCATGCAAGTCCACAGTCCGGCAGGGCAGTCAAATCTTAAAGCTACAAAATGATCTCCTTTGACTCCATTTCTCACATCCCAGTCATGTTGATGTAAGAGATGGGTCCCCATGGTCTTGGTTAGCTCCTCCCCTGTGGCTTTTCAGGGTACACCCTCTCTCCTGGCTGCCTTTATGGGCTGGCATTGAGTGTCTGTGGCTTTTCCGTTTGCATGGTGCAAGCTGTCAGTGGATCTACCATTCTGGGGTGTGGAGGACTGTGGCCTTCCTCTCACAGCTCCAGTAGGCAGTGCCCCAATAGGGACTCCGTGTGGGGACTCTGACCCCACATTTCCCTTCTGCACTGCCATAGCAGAGGTTTTCCATGAGGGCCCTGCCCCTGCAACAAACTTCTGCCTGGGCATCCAGGCATTTCCATATATCTTCTGAAATCTAGGCGGAGGTTCCCAAACCCTAATTCTTGACTTCTCTGCACTTGGAGTCTCAGCATCACATGGAAGCTGTCAAGGATTGAAGCTTGCACCCTCTGAAGCCACAGCTCAAGCTCTACATTGGCTCCTTTCGACCATAGCTTGAGTGGCTGGGACACAGTGCACCAAGTCCCCAGACTGCACACAGCATGAGGATCCTGGGCCTGGGCCATGGAACCACTATTTTCTTCTAGATCTCCAGGCCTGTGATGAGAGGGGCTGCTGTGAAGACTGCTGAAATGCCCTGAAGACATTTCCCCATTGTCTTGGCCATTAACATTAGGCTCCTTGTTAATTGTGCAAATTCCTGCAGCCAGCTTGAATTTCTCCTCGGAAAATAGGATTTACTTTTCTATGGCAATGTCAGGCTGCAAACTTTCCAAACTTTTATGCTCTACTTTCTTTGTACAACTGAATGCCTTTAACAGCACCCAAGTCACTTCTGGAACACTTTTGCTGCTTAGAAATTTCTTCCGCCAGATACCCTAAATCATTTCTCTCAAGGTCAAAGTTTCACAAATCTCTAGAGCAGGGATGAAATGCACCAGTCTCTTTACTAAAACATAATACATGTCACCTTTGCTCCGGTTCTCAACAAGTTCCTCATCTCCATCTGAAACCACAACATGTGGAAATTATGGGAGCCACAAGATGAGATTTGGGTGGGGACACGGAGCCAAACCATATCACAAACTAAGAATCAGTGCAGAGAGGTTCTATGATGTAGTGATTAAGAGCATGGGGTCTAGAGATGAAGAGTCATGGTTCAAATCTTGCTTTTACCCCTTATAATCTGTGGGATAGTGGGAAAAGCACCTCTCTGTGCCTCAGGTTCTCTATTTGTATGTTGATAGAATCTGTTTCAGTGTAGTTTCTTGTCATATATAATAGTATCTGTTATATATTTAATATGATCTAGGCATTTCCTATTTTTTAGTGCTAGTTCTTATTTCATTTTCTCCAGCAAAGAAGTACAAGTACAGGGAGCTTACAGATTTGGACTGAGTTCCTACTCCTGATGAATTTATCCAGTTGATAAACTATGCCACGCTCATTAGTTACCATGGAACTCCACCATGGCACACATCAGTCATTCTGTACAAACTTACAGCTTAAAGCTTTGCCTACTTATTACTTTTAAGAGTATGGTGGATATTTTAATGAGGGTTACTGTATACCATTACCATATAACTACTAAAAGTTCACCCATTTTCCTAAAAAGTCTTTCTGCGATTCTTCCTAACCATCAATATGTATAGAATGCCAGTTATATCATCTTCTGTTTTTGCCTCTTTTTTTCTCTAAGGCCCCATCTACTCGTTCCTCAGATCCTTTGGGAAGTCTAAATTTTCCACTTAATTTTGAGGATTAATTTTGTTCTTTTTGTTTCAATGTTCTGATTTATATCCATGCCCTATGGGACATATTTTAGGAGCTAATTAGCAGCTCAATAAGCTTTCCAAGTTAAAAATGAAGATAATTATTTTAGAGAGAGAAAGTGACTAAGATTTATTGAGAAAGTAAATTTTCAGGCACGTTTTTAGGTTTAAATAAATAAATAAATCATTCTCAGTAAACTATCGCAAGAACAAAAAACCAAACACCGCATATTCTCACTCATAGGTGGGAATTGAACAATGAGATCACATGGACACAGGAAGGGGAATATCACACTCTGGGGACTGTGGTGGGGTCGGGGGAGGGGGGAGGGATAGCATTGGGAGATATACCTAATGCTAGATGACACGTTAGTGGGTGCAGCGCACCAGCATGGCACATGTATACATATGTAACTAACCTGCACAATGTGCACATGTACCCTAAAACTTAGAGTATAATAAAAAAAAAATTAAAAAAAATTAAAAATAAATAAATAAATAAATAAATAAATAAATAGTTAAGATTTGGAAACAAAAATATTTCAATAATACACAGGTAGAAAATAGGAAGTCTAGAATCTAGACACATGTTCTGTCTACCACATTACATTGAAATGTCTCTTTACAACTTTTAAATATAGAATATTTTTTCTCAGATTACATTTATAATATGCTTTCTAATTATTTAGGCACATATAAATATTGTCTTCAGAATAATATTAGTTCAATTTAATACAATAACAGTATTTCTTGAAACCATTTAAGAGAAAAAGAAATGTAATCAATGGCTATGGAATGTCTTTAACCTTCTGTGTTGCTATTGTTTAATTTGGTATTAAGCCATGTGAGGCTAGCATGGTGGCTCACACCTGTAATCCCAACACTTCGGGAGGCTAAGGCAGAAGGACAGCTTGAACCCAAGCATTCAAAACAAGCCTGGGAAACATAGGGAGAACCCATCTCTTCAAAAAAAAAAATAAGGAAATTTAAAGTAGCCGTGCGTGGTGGCACACACCTGTGTTTCCAATTACTCATGAGGCTGAGGTGGGAGGATTGCTTCAGCCCAGGAGGTCATGATCCTGCCACTGCACTCCAGCCTGGGCAATCCACAGTGAGACTGTGTTAAAACAAAACACAACAAAACTGTGTGAATATCAGGGGAAAAGAGAACTTCAATTACCTTAGAATAATTAGTATAGAATTAATCATTGACTAGATTGTTGCTGGGAGATATATTAGAGGCTCGTCAACTACATAATTTGAGGGGCTCAATACAAAATGAAAATGCAAAACTCTGGCCAGTGACAGGAAGTCAGTCTCCCTTTCTCCCAAAGCTCACCACTCCAAACCATGGCAGCTTGAAAACCACCAAGGGATTGCAGATGCCATGAGAGGATGTGCTTAGTATGTGGATGGGAGTGAATGAGAGGTGCTAGCAAATCTTGTTGGATGGCCCAATAGAGCTGGCTACTTGAGTCAGAGAAGGCTGCTACCTTTCCCATCTCCAGATCCTTCAGGGCCCTCACTTGGATCTGACCCTACCTCCTCCCAGCCCACATTGTCTGGTGGGATTTCATTTGCAATACAGATGCTCAAAAATTAAAATATTAATATTTTCAAAATGATGACTGCAGAATATTTACTCCAGGTGCAGGGCATTTTGAGCACTGGTCCGGACACAGCTTCACTGATCAAATTGCAATGAAGTCAACCTTGTTTAGATAAATTGATGGAGAATTTAAATACTGGTCCTAAGAAAGAATTATAATATTTTAAATATTTTTGCTGATTCCTGCTTATAAAGATAGGGAAATATGTCAATCTCCTTATCAGATACCCATCTAGAGAATTAGGCACAGATTATAGAAGATGATCTGGAAATTTCCTGTGAAGCTACTGTCTAAATAGGGACATTGGAAAATATACAGATGTTTGACAAATTCAATAAAAGAAAGTGATATTCCAGGTCAAGTAAACAGTTTGGTAAAAACACCAAAGACGGAAAGTTTAAAATATATTTTGGGGAAAAAAAAGAATTGTTAAATTGGACCCTTATACCATACTCAAATATCAAATTAAAATAGATTAAAGATTTAAATGTAAGACCTAAAACTGTAAAACTGCTGTAAGGAAGTACAGGAGAAAATCTTATTGACATTGGGCTAGGCAATAATTTCTTAGATATGCCACCAAAATAAAAAAATAGACAAGAAAATACAGCAAACTAAGAAAGCTTCTGTACGGCAAAGAAACAATCAGTACAGTGAAAACTTAACATATGAAATTAAAGAAGTATTTGCAAACCATGTATATAATAAGAAATATACAAAATATATAAGGAAGTCATATAACTCAATAGCATAATAATTTCATTTAAAAATGGGTAAAAATCTTAATAGACATGTATCAAAAAGACATACAGATGGTCAATGGGTATATGAAAAAATGCTCAACATCAATATCAGAGTATTACAAAATAAAATCATAATGAGATATCACTTTGCATCGGTTAGGGTGGCTATTATCAACAAAACATAACAAATGTTAGTGAAGTTACGGAAAAATTTGAAACCTATCTCACTCTTGCTGACAATTCAAAAATGGTGCAGCTGCTACGGGAAATTGTATGAAAAGTTTTCCACAAATTAAAAATAGAAGACTATATGATCCAGCAATCTCATTCCTGGGTATCTACCTAAAATAATTGAAATCAGAATCTCTAAGAGATCTATACTTCCATGATCATTGTGGCACTATTTACAATAGTCAAGCTATGGAAACAGCTCATTCATTGACAGTTGAATGAATAAAGAAAATGTAATACAGACATACAGCAGACTATTATTCAGAGTTTTTAAAAAGAGGAAAATTTGCCATATGTGACAAGATGGATAAACCTTAACGACATTATGCTGAGTAAGTCAGTCACAAAAGGACAAATTCTGCATGATTCTACATATATGATATACCAAAAATAATCAAACTCATGGAATTAGAAAATACAAAGTACAAAGGCGGTTACTGGGGACCAGGGGAAGGAGCATGTGGGGATGTGGTATAAAGTTACAGTTATTTAAGCTGAATTACTTCTATGCATATGCTCAACAGTATAGTACCTACAGTCAACGATATTGTGTTACAAACTTAAAACTTTGTTAAGAGGACAGATCTCATGTTAAGTGTTTACCACAAAACAAAAGAAAGCAACAAAAAACCCCAGAAATTTTTGGAGATGAATATGTCTATTCCCTGATTATAGTGATGGCTTCAGGATGTGTTCACATGCCAAACTCATTAAATAAAGTACATTAAATATATTCAGCTTCTTAATATCAATTTTACCTCAAAACTGTTTACAAAAAAATAAAAAAGGAATGTTGGCATGTTTTGTTGGATTGAAGGAAAAAAATGGAGTAGTAAGATGGAAAGAAAGTAAAGTAGAAAGATGAAAAGAAGAAATATGGGAATAAGATTGAACAATAAAATCAGGGCCAGATTGTAATGGTGTAAATTTGCTTTGAAGAATATTTAAAATTCAAAAGTGATCCCTTTAAGAAGAAATTTTAATGGCTTGATATTAATAATATAGGTTTTAGTTTTCTTGACAAGAAAACTGATGAAGGTTTTGTGTTAACTCAAAAGGGCTACGTGTCCACAAAATTTATTTGCTAAACTGCAAACTGTCAAGGAGAGAGATGATATAGTGGGAAAAACTAGGAACTAGGGGCCTGAATTCTTTATCTTTAGATATCTTCAGATAATCCAAGCAGAAATCAATCTTTTAAAGAGGGAATTCTGGGAATGGTAGCTTACAGTAAATGAAAAATTTTAAATCTATATAAGAACCAACCCAAATTACAAAAATAGAAAAACATAAAATGAAAAGTGTTGAAATCAGGGCATAATGTCATACACACGACTGCAAACTTTGAGCAAGCCTGAGTGTGGTATGCACTTTAACCCAGCTTTATAATGACAGAAGCTACTAGTTCTGATAAAGAAATTGTGTGGTAAAGGAGAACAGATTTCTTCCATACCTTCCATACTGAACTGAAGACCAGGTCCAGGTAGAACGATAGGAAAATTAAGTAATTTTAACAAAGACTGTTTTAATAATTTAGCAAAACCAGTGCCATTGACAACCATGTGTAGATGGTTATGAGGTAGGTCATAACTCACTGAAACTTAGACACAAATAACTATGGTGACTAGATGTTTTTAATTGATAATTTCACCAGGTGTTTAATGTGTTCAATTCGTAATTAGAGCTGTCAAGCAACTTTCATGACAGGAAGATCACCAACTGAATGAGATGTTTCACTTTTCCAGTGTGGTGTAATGTCCAATCCATCCTCACGGTAGTCCTGGAACACAATCAAATCAGAGTCAAATGAGATGCTAAACCTTCTCCCAGAAGCAGTGGTAAAGTAAAGGGCATCTACCAAATGCTGAAGGTCTGAAAATACATGGATTTCAATTATGTCATAAAGTTCTCCTCATTGTTTAAACAAATTAGAGTTTCTACCAAAAAATGAGTACAAATTCCTCAACTGAAGATACTACTTCAGAACCTTAGGTTTCTGAGTGATTAAAACTAAAAAACTGATCTCATATACCTTCGTTGTGGGATAAATTGTCTACCCTGAAATTTACATGTTGAAGTCTTAACTTCCAGCACCACAGAATGTGACTGGGTAGACAAGGCCTTTAAAGAAGTAATAAAGGTTAAATGAGGTCATTAAGATGGACCGTAATGCAATATGACGGGTCTTACAAGAGATTAGAACACAGATCCACACAGAGGAAAGACCATGTGAAGACAAAGGGAAAACATAGCCACATAGAGGCCAAGGAGAGAGGCTTGAGAAGAAATCAACGCTGCCAATATCTTGATTGTGGACTTTTAGCCTTCCAGAACACTGAGAAAACAGCTTATTATTTAAGCTACCCCGTCTGTGGTTTGTTGTCATGGCAGTCCTAGCAAACCAGTCTACCCCTAATGCATACATTCTAAGAAAAAGTTACCAACTATATCTAGGAAAAGTTACAGAGGGACCAATTGATATTCTTTGTCCTGGGTTTAGGAAAATAGATATTGTGAATATGTTAACATGTAGGTTTGTATAAATGGAGGAAATGAAACAGAAGTTTCTGAAGAGATGAATGAAACTTGCTAAACATAATTGAAAAGCATACTTTATTTCAGATCAATTTATTCAGTAAACCAAATTAGGAGCAATTAACTAAAACTCTAATTTGTGTAGAAGTTAGAGAGCCCTTTATGAAATAAATAAGTCCATGAAGTTTCAAACTTTCAACATTCTGCAGATGCCCTTTACTTTGTTTAAATAGGAAAATTTAAACTATGATGAACTTTAATATTTTCCAACTTTGTAATATTTTTTGAATTTAGGGAAAGTTGGGTGTTACTAGGACATATTCTAATAATTTTCATTTTTAAGCTTTCTTCTCAAATGCCACCCACCTTAAATCCCCTTTTGAAATCCCATTCTCCTCTTTACTATCATGCTTAGCCCAATTAATTCTCCATTTCTTCCCCTTAAGTATCATCAAAGCAAAGCCACTTACTCAAATGACTTTTATTGCAGGTATGGGACAGCAGATGAAAACAACATGAAAAAAAAAAACCTTTAAATTACATATTAAACATCATTGTTCTAAAATTAGATGGCTATTACACATAAGGGTAAATTTCAGTTTACTTACATCTTTTGTTTCTAGGGTAACCTTTCCACTTGTGATAACTTTCTCCAGCAAGAAATGCCAGCTATTTTCCTTCCCTTTCAAAAACAAAAAGTTTATCTCTTATGTAGATGAATTATTTTTTTCTAATGTAAACTTCCATATGTGCTATGCACTGGGGCCTCATCTTTCATGTTCAGCCATCTGTTATGCCATTAAGTTACTTTACCTAAGACAAAATACCTCTTCCTAAGAGGAAGTTGTCTTTCCTTGTAAATCAACTGAATCAATCCATATGAAATTTTAATTTTCCTTTCTTGTCTCCTTTTATAAACATTGATTAATGACCAGGTACAACAACAACCTGAAATTAATAGGTCACTGATAGAGATTAAAAAATAGTGGCTCCTCTCACAAAACATCCTATACTAGAATATAAAATGCCCTAGTAGTAGTAAATAGCAGAAAATAGAACACCGATGGGATAAATGGCTTGTGGACACACATATGCATGTGACAACTACTGAAATTATAATTTATTAAAATCCTGTCTTATTTTTCTGTCTAGAAAGAGCAGCAGGCATAGATCTTCCATGGCAATGTGCTAGAGAGAAAAGCTGTCCCAGAGCTTCTTCCTGGAGCATTGTGCTGAACCTCTGTGGCCAGTGACTGCTGCTTTCTCTGAATCTTATTTAGGCCACTCTGTTTACCCAATAATTTATCAGCTTTTATTTAAGTTGTTCCCAATTAGGTATCTATATATGATATACATTATGCTCCATCAGGTCTGTTTCTTAACCATTAGAAAATAACTCATTTTTAATATACCAGATAGAAAAATTCTATGTCTATACTTATATCTGAGACATAAATGTGTATATGTAGATATAGATAATATCAATTATCTATCTAAATCTGTATATATAATTGATACTGTGAATTACCAATTATCTATCAAAATCCATATAGATAGATAATTGATACATATACACATACATATGTATGTATATATACTTACATATTATATATATACAATTAGATATATATATAATTTCCAGACCTGAGCCTTAATGGGAATTAGAAGTTGAGATTAGCTTCTGTCTTTCCATCTTATCTGGTTACAGAGGTATTTAGAGTGGAATAGTATAATAGATATTGGTATTTTGGGGACAAAACAAGATATGAAACTAGAATTTTAGATGATATATTGGCACAGTTTAAAACTAGATGTAAGAAACACATTTTATAAAAGGCAAAATATTCTAAAAAACATTTTCTAAAAGCCATATTAGTCATAGACAAAAACGAGCTACTCTGAAAGGTAGAGCGCTGGTCAAGTAGAGAGTCCAAGGAACACTCAAGAGACATACTTTAAAGGTGATTTATGTTAAAATTAGCTGAAGGAGATTTATTTTATGTATATATACATATATTTTATATATAATATTTATATATTTATATATAAACATGTATTATATATATTTATATGTTATATAATTACATATAATGTATTATATATTATAATTATATAATATATATATTAATGATATATAAGTATATAATTATAATATATAATATATAATAAGCATATATATATATTTAATATATATTACATTATATAATATGATTATATATAATATATATAACATAATATATTGTATATGTTATATATAATATATATTATAACATATAATTATATTATATAATATATAAATATATGTATATAATATATATTATATATCAGATTATATATAAATATAGGTATATACGTATTATGTATATCACGTGATATACATGTTATGTATATCACGTGATATACATGTTATGTATATCACGTGATATACATGTTATGTATATCACGTGATATACATGTTATGTATATCACGTGATATACATGTTATGTATATTACATGTATTATGTATACTACATAATATACAAATTATGTATATCACATGTATTATGTATACTACATAATATACATAATATGTATATTACATGTATTATGTATACTACATAATATGAATATGTATATTACATGTATTATGTATACTACATAATATACATATTATGTATATTACATATATTATGTATATTACATAATATACATAGTATATTACATATATTATGTATATTGCATAATATACATACGTATATTACATATGTATATTGCATAATATACATACGTATATTACATATGTATATTGCATAATATACATACGTATATTACATATGTATATTGCATAATATACATACGTATATTACATATGTATATTGCATAATATACATACGTATATTACATATGTATACTGCATAATATACATATGGTGTATACTGCATAATATACATATGATGTATACTGCATAATATACATATGATGTATACTGCATAATATACATATGATGTATACTGCATAATATACATATGATGTATACTGCATAATATACATATGATGTATATTGCATATATTATGTATATTACATATATTATGTATATTGCATAATATACATATTATGTATATTACGTAATATACATTATGTATATTATGTAATATACATTATGTTATTATGTTACATTACGTAACATACATTATGTTATATTACGTAATATACATAATGTATATTATGTAATATTAGGTAATATATACATATTATATACATTATGTAATATATACAATGTAATATATATGTAATATTATGTATACTATGTAATATATTTAATGTAATATATTATGTGATATATATTACATACATATATATTATATATTATATATGAGATATATAATATTCATATTATATATTATATATGAGATATATAATATTCATATTATATATTAAATAATATATTTAATATATTATAATATAATATAAAATATATTTATTATATTTAATTTTATATATTAAATATTTAAATTTATATATGAAATATTAAATAGATATATAAAGTATGTATATAATATGAATAATATATTTAATATATTATAATATAACTGTAATATCATATTAAATAATATATAATATAATAATATATAATATATAGTATTATATTAAATAATAGATATGATATATAATGTATAATATAATATTATATATAATATATTATTTATTATATGTATAATATATAATATATAATACATTGTATTATCTTTATTATATATTATATACATATTATATACATAATAATATATAATATAAAATATAATCATATAATATATAATATAAAATATAATTATATATAATATAATATATAATTATATATAAAATGCATAATATATATAATATATAATGTACAGGATATATTATATATCATATATATTATTTAATATAATATATTTATATTTTTATATAAATATATATCTATATAACATATTATATATAAAATATTTATAAATATATTTATATATTGTAAATACATATGTAAGATATACATATATTAATTTTAATATAATTTAATATATACTTAATATAATTTATTTCTTACAAATATAATATATGTAATATGTTAAATATATATTTATATAATATATAATAGATAAATATATATTTCTGTATTATGTATATATGATACACAATATATTAAATATATATTTATATAATATATATTTATATAATATATTAAATATATATTTATATAATATATATTTATATAATATATTAAATATATATAGGTTATATAAACATATAACATGTAAATATATATTTAATGTGTTATATATAATATATATAACACATTAAATATATATTTACATGTTATATGTTTATAATATACATATTAATATATAACATTAATATGTTATATATAATATATTAAATATATATTTATATAATATATATTTATATATGATATATTTATATGATATATATTTTTATATTATTTATGATATATATTTTTATATTATTTATGATACATATTTATACATATACAATTAGTTTTTAAGTGCATTTTTGGTTCTTAATCTTGCTATCAATAAAATCATACCCTTTCCTTTTTTTTCCAGCCAACAGAAATGCACTTTCAAAGTTTATGGATTTTTATAAATTTAACTTTTTTTCCGAATGCCAAACTACACCATACTGTGATTTGTTACTCACTATCTTCTCTGTATATACCCTGAAAATCTTTGATTTTGCCTACCGTAAAACTGCTCATATGATGACTATGGCAGCTATTTTCTTTTGCATCCAATAACTGAGAAAGTATAAAATAAACCACATATAATAACTTATTAATAACTATAAAATTGATTATTGAACATATTTAACACCTGGAGTACGTTTCTGTTTATATGTTTGCCAAATAGTTCAGCCTGATAAGAAAACTCAATTATTATTTAGATATTATCACTGGATACTTTCCACAATACTTTTATTCTATATTTTACTTTATTTACACAAGCAATTTTATTTTATTATGGATTAGGGCTCAGATTAGGCTAAGTGAAGAACTTACATTTGAATTATTTAAAAAAGAATAATTATAAAAACTGTCATAAACTATATACAAGGCTTAGAATGGAACTGTGCTCCCTTAGAAAATATTCGGTGTCTTCAGATACCATATTCAATATGTTCAAAACACCGGAATTATTTTATCTGGTGTATTTACTAATGAGGCATTGTCCAATGGTTAAAAAAGTGGACCTGAAGGAACATGATATAAAAATACTAAATGACTGAAAGGAGGCCAGGGGCTGTGTATGTTTGCCTCATATATTTGTCTGTATTAAAGGCAGGGCACAGTGGCTCACGCCTGTAATCCCAGCACTTTGGGAGGCCAAGGTGAGCAGATCACTTGAGGGCAGAGGTTTGAGACTAGCCTGACCAACATGGTGAAACCACATCTCTACTAAAACAAAACAAATACAAATTAGCTGGATGTGGTGATGCATACCTGTAATCCCAGCTACCAGAGAGGCTGAGGCAGGAGAATCACTTGAACCTGAAGGTGGAGGCTGTAGTAAGCCTGAGATCATGTCACTGAACTCCAGCCAGGGCAACAGAGCGAGACTCGATCAAAAAAAAAAAAAAAAAAAAAAAAAAAGAGAATGATCTAAGTATTAGCAAGTTATTACTTTGTGATTTGACAAAGATACATGTTGCAAAGAGAACTGGAATAATATCATTTTCAAAATTCCTTTCATATTTTTCCTGGACTCTCACTTTCTAAAGAGGCCAAACTTTGTATAAAAATTATGCAAATAGCTACAACACTTGCATATAAGTTTAGGATGTTTATGACCCTTAGACATACCTTTTTCTCTAGAGGCAAAATTTTCTGTTTATTTCATAAATAAACTTTAGAACACTTTATTGTATAAACCCACAGAGCAATGGTTTTGGATTTTGCCATCTCTTGCAAAGTTGAGCCCTTTTGGAATTGTATTAATGGTGCCTTATCCTCTTAGCCATCACTCCCTCCCCCATTTTTCAAAATCGGTTAGCTTCACTTGGACCCCATTTTTGTCACTCATGTGGTTTTATCAGGTTTCAAGTACCATTACAGAATGACTGTCACCTTTTCTATAGAAATAGCTTAAGTTCCTCAACCTAAAGTACCAAAATTCAGTAAGTTACTTAGCCATCAAAGCTATGTGACAATGTTTGATATAAAACATTTTTTATGAAACGTAAGTATTTCATGTCCCCTAGTACTTGAAAAACCTGTTTTAAAGTTACACTAAAAGTTAAACAAAATGAAGGGGGGTAAAAAATCTTCAAACAGCTTACAAATTCACAAAAGAAAAGAATGGAGAACAATGCACATTGTCCTTTTGGTGCAAAAATAATAAATGAAATAATAAAAACAAAGCCTTTTATTTGTATGTGCGTATATGCATGTATGTACTGTTTCAATGTTAACTGTGACTCTCTCAATGCATATATACCAAGGAAGTCCTTATCTTGGAGGGGTTAGAGAACATTAGTAATCATTAGCAGATAATCTTATATCTAGTTGTTATTTTTTGTAATGGTTTCTAGAATCAATATTCTTAGGCATACACTAGTATTCTTCCATTTTTCTTTGACTTCAGTGTTTTACATCCTGCTTCTTAGTCCCTTTTTATTATTACATAATGGTTGATCTAGGATTCTATGCATATTTTTAATTTCCATATTTGTTCAATACAGCACATTCCTGCAAATACAACTAATGTAAACTACTAAGCAATGTGCAATACTTACTGAGCAGACACAAAGGGTATAGAGAGTAGGAACAGTAGTAGGAGGAGAGGCTGATTGTGAGCAATTATGAATAGAACAACTGCCTTCTTAAATTCTGTAGTAGATCTTTAAACTAATAATATAATTTTATGTAATTTTAACATAACTATACATTTTTGCAAATAAAGATACATAGGATATGAAGAAACTGAACCTGTGGTGCTAAAGAAAAATTCTCCCAAATCCACAAACAATTACACTACATAACCACAGTCTAAACGTTGGTGTCATATGAGATTCATTCAGATTCAAATTCTGGTTTTGCACTCTCTGTGCAAATTTATTGTTACTTGACCTTTCTGTGCTTCAATTAAATGGAGATATATTAGGATTGTGAGGATTAAGTGATAATACGAGGAAAGCGTTTAGCAAATAGTAGTAAATAAATAGTAGTCATTTTTCCTGCTGCTGTTATTTTAACTTAAAAAAGATTTTGTGGATTAAGCATTTGTGAGATAACTTGAATATGATTATAATTATGCAATAATTTTGTATTTTGCCACTGCTTTTACAAGGATTTTCTTGATTATAAAGTAATTTGGTATAAAACTTTTCACTTGGTACATAATTAACTTGGTATATGACAACTTCTATGCACTTTTTCAGTAAATTCTTATTTGTTTAAAATTGATTGTATTGATTTCTCATGAAAATAAGTTTGAATCAATTAGTGATAATAAAATTATTGCATATTTTGATGCCATCAAAAATGATATGGGTTATTTTAAATTTTCTATTTTTGTTATATTGACATGTATATATATATATATACACATACATGTAAAATGTAATAAATTCAATGTGTACACATATATGTATGTGTGTATAATACATATATGTGTGTATATACACATATATGTATGTGTGTACACATATGTATGTTTGTATATATGTGATATATATAAATTGGTTATTATTACAAAGATAAAAGTGTTGGCAAAGATGTGGAGAAACATTGCATGTTCTCTCTCATTTGTTGTATCTAAAAATTAAAACAAACTATAGAGGTAGAGGGTAAAAGGATGGTTATCAGAGTCTGGAAAAGGTAGTGGGGAATTGAAGGAGAGATGAGAATCGTTAATGCACAAAAATTAGAAAAAAATGAATAAGACCTACTATTTGATAGCACATTGGAATGACTATAGTCAGTAATAACTGTACATTTAAAAATCACTATAAGAGTATATTTATATTGTTTTTAACACAAAGGATAAATCTTTGAAGGGGTAGTTACCCCATTCTCCATGATGTAATTATTAACATCTAGTCTCTGATAGTACCATTCCTGTAATCCAAGCACTTGGGGAGGCTGAGGCGGGTGGATTGCTTGAGCCCAGGAGTTGGAGACCAGTCTGGGCAACATGGCAAAACTCCATCTCTACAAAATACAAAAATTATCTGGATGTGGTGAAGAGCTCTTGTAGTCCCAGCTGCTGGGGAGGCTGAGGTGGTAGAATCACCTGAGCCTGGGGAGGTTGAGGCTGCAGTGAGCTGTGATCACACCATTGTACCTCAGCCTGGGCAACAGAGAGAGACACTGTGTCAAAAAATAAATTAGTCTATGAAATATATCTGGAAATGTAAAATGTAAGCTGAGAATGACTATTTTGAAGGAGTCAACAGTGTGATGTTCTAGGAGAATTGCATTCTATGGAGAAGGAACAAGTGTAAAGGCTTAATATTGTAAGGTTACATGTGGTAAAATATTTTTAAAAATCCAATGCAACAAGTGCATGGTAGACAAAAGGAATAGTGTTGTCACATGAGGGCAGGGAAATAGTCAGCACACAGATCATTAATGCATTATAAGCCAGAGCAAAAGAAAAGTTGATGGTAAGTGTGGCATCAGTACACTAGAAAGCTTTGACCAAGGGAGAAACATGATGGTTTCTATATGAAGAATGGGATATGGCGTTGTGGAGAGACATGAAGCAGGGGCTTCCCCTGCACTTAGAGGGCTTTGGAGTTTTCAAGTAAGAGATAATGGTTGATTGGACTTTTAGTGTACAGAAGTGGTAGAAATGTAATGAATTATACCAACTCGAGTATTTTGTAGGTAGACAGGATAGGACTTACTACTAGTAGGCAGGGTGAAGAAAAAAGAGTAATTAGGGATGACTCACTGATTTTGGATTAAGCTACAGATTGGATACCAACGTCATTTAATGGGTTTGGCAGAACTTGGGGAGAAAGAGGCATTGCTGGAGGGATGTCAACAGTTCTCTTTGGGATTTGTTAATTTTGAGATACCTGGAAGCTAGTCAACTAGGTGCTTAAGTAAGTATTTGGATATGGGAATATGGAACTGAGTAAATAAGTAAATACTAGATTTAAATATAAAATTCAACAGCATAAGAATGGTATGTAAAGCCATTTTTTTCATTTTTATTTTTTATTGGAATAACTGAGAAAACAACATAGATGTAAATGAAGAGGTACTGGAATAAAAGGACACTGCTATTAAATTTAACTACAAGAAAATTTAGTGATGGCGCACCTCAGTAGGATATTAAAGGTAGAAGCTCAATTTTTCTGTCATTTTACATTACATTTCAATCTAAAACCTGACTTTTGAATCCTATTGGTGAAAATAATTTTAAGGGCCTTTTTATAGAGGAAAAAGAGGATTTGAAATGATTTCCTAAATCTTCAGAGAGATGGTAACATTTCCAGAAAAGTTTAGCAATCTCAACACATAATTTTACTATATGCAGAGGAAGATGATGAGCAGGTTCCTAGAGGGAGTGGGAGGAGAACAAAGGGCCAGGATTTGACTCCCTCTGCCATTACAGCTGACCCAGGCTAACAACGTGTGATCACCTGGCAGATCAGGAGTTACAATAACCACTGACTCTTAGTAGTTGATGCAGGAGGGACAGGACCCAATGTTAAGTGTTAAAGAAAAACAATTATTCCTTACTGTTCCTTGGAAGGTAGCTCTTAGGAACATACAGACTAGGAGACCCTTCCTTTAATGTCCAAGAGAAGCTTTATGTTGCATCCAAAGTTTGTGTCAGGAAGAATAAAAAGAGAAAATCATTTAGCAAGTTCTGCAGCAACACTGAGTTTATTTAAGAAAATGTTAAATCAGAAATAAATGAATTGTCATTTAATTGAGAAGTTCAAGGATATTGCATTTTGCTTAATACTGCTTTTTATTTTTTCCTCAAATCAACAGGACTTATGGGTCACAACAGAGTTTAATACAGAGTTTTACTGTTTTAGAGACAGTAAGTTAATTGTTTCCACATCTAAATAAATATTATGTATATATTCTTACTCTGTTACACTCTGTTAAATTTTGGTTAATTTAGTTTTGTGAAGTATTTAGCCATTTATCAAGTAGCTCTTTCATATGCCTCATTTAAATTTGTTCTTGTTGGTAATAAACAATTTTGAGTTTCATCCTTCTTTCAATCAAAATAAATTGATTAATATTTTCTATTTTAAAACTTTGGATGCTTAATTGGTAATAATATCATCTATCATAAGCTAGTAACCTCTCCCTCATGACAGACTTCCTTAACCTTTCCACAGACACTTTTTAAAGCTTCATTTATTTCGTTGTCTCTCCATGTTCTTTGAATATTTCTTAACATGAGAAAGTCCAAACTTCATAAAATTCTAAAAGAAATTTACTCAGAAAATTACAGAGATAATATAAGAACAGTGTCAATTTGAACCTTTAGTTTGATGTTTATTATTTTAAATTTATTTAATTTGATCAGTAAAAGCATATTTATCGTGTACAATATGATGTTATGAAGCATGTATACATTGTGGAATCCTGAAATCTTGCTAATTGACATAAGCATCACCTCACATGGTTATCATTTATGCGATGAGAGCACAATGTTCATTCTCTTAGCATTGATTTTTCAAGAATACAATATATTGTCATTAACTATAGTCACCATGCTATAAAATAGATCTTTTGAACTTATTCCTCCTATCTAATTATAATTTGGTTCAATTATTATTAAATCTACTATGTACCCTCAAAAATGAAAAAGACAATAATTAATTCAATCTGGCTTAAAATAAAACAAAACTGGCCGGGCGCGGTGGCTCACGCCTGTAATCCCAGCACTTTGGGAGGCCGAGACGGGCGGATCACGAGGTCAGGAGATTGAGACCATCTTGGCTAACACGGTGAAACCCCGTCTCTACTAAAAATACAAAAAAATTCAGCTGGGCTTGGTGGCAGGCGCCTGTAGTCCAGCTACTTGGGAGGCTGAGGAAGGAGAATGGCGTGAACCCAGGAGGCGGAGCTTGCAGTGAGCCGAGATCGCGCCACTGCCCTCCAGCCTGGGCGACAGAGAGAGACTCCATCTCAAAAAATAAATAAATAAATAAATAAATAAGTAAACAAAACAAAACTGACTTACCAAGTGTGCTTCTTTTGGATTGGAAGTGGCACATCCAACAACCATAAACATGACTGTGGTTGTTTAAACTTCAGAAAGAAAGATGTAGGCTCATCGGGTGGTAATACATTTTTTTTCTTTTCTTTTACTTTTTTTTTCTTTTTGCCAAAGGAATGCTATATTTACTTGAAAGTAGGCTTTCTACAAGGTGTTTAACTTCATTTCATGGCTCCTATATTTTTTTGTATCTGTGGATGCAGCTTGAGATTATTTTAAATCTATAGATACAACATCTGTCTCCTTGGATTCTTTAAGCCTTCATTAAACTGTGTGTGTGTGTGTGTGTGTGTGTGTGTGTGTGTGTGTGTGTGTGTGTGTGTGTCCATAGATTTAGTGTCATTATCTTCAACATCCTTATCTGAATATTCTTCTTTAAATCTTTCTAGAGATCATTCATTGAATCCTTCATATCCCCGAATATAAGTATATGTATTCTTCAAGTCTTTCAATGGATCCCCCCTTAATTTTTCTTAACATCTTTCTTATATATTTTTATAAATCTCTGCTGAGTTCTCCTTTGTATCCTTCTTTACCACCTTTTAAAAATTATTTAATTCTTTGAGGCCTCTTGTTTTCTCACAAATTCAGCTGCAGACTACCACTATTGTTTCATCAAATATGCTTTTGAATTATTCTTTCGGTTCAAATTCTTATCCAAGGCCTACTTGCCCTTCTTCTTTGCATCCTTCTTTTCATCCTTCTTTGCATTCTTCTTTGCATCCTTCTTTGCATCCTTCTTAGCATTTTTCTTTGCATCCTTCTTTGAATCAGCAGATTCTTTCTCAGTATCTTTCTTGGCAACTTTCTTGGCATCTTTCGTGGCGTCCTTCTTAGACTCTTTCTTGACATCATCCTTTGAGTCACTGTCTGTACTACTGGGCTTCTTCTTATCTTTCTTACCTTTTTTAATCTCCTTTGCATCTTTCTTGGCATCCTTCGATTCATCACCTTTGTTTGCATCTTTTTTTCCATCCTCATCCTTCTTTTCATCTGCTTTTACAGCTTGTAATTCTATGGCTGAATCCTTGCCCTTCTTTGAATCCTTTTTACCTTTTTTGCTATCTTTCTCTGTACCTCCTTTTTCACCTTCAGATTCTGTTGCCGAGTCTTTGCCTTTGTTTGAATCCTTTTTATCTTTTTTGTTATCTTTCTTTGCACCTCCTTTTTCATCTTCAGATTCTGTTGCTGAGTCTTTGCCCTTCTCTGCATCCTTTTTACCTTTTTTGCTATCTTTCTTTGCATCTAGCTTTTCTTCTTTTCCTTTCTCTATATCCTTGCCTTTCTTTGAATCTTTTTTTCCTTGTTTTAATTCTGATTCCGAATCTGTTGTGTCCTTCTGTGTTGTCTTGTCTTCACCTTTCTTACCAATTTCTGGGGATAAATATTCAAATATTTCTTAAAATGGGAAAATCCAAACTTGATAAAATTCTAATAGAAATCTAATCAGAAAATTACAGAGATACTATAAAAACAGTAAGTTATCTCTACCTGCTGCTTTAGAATCCACCTCGACAGTACGAGTTGGTTTGAGAGGCTGCCTCCTGGCAGCTAAATAAACAGATGGTCTCTCAGAAATTCTCATTAAAGAACGGTACATCCATAATGGTTGTCTACGATCTCCTCTTAATTGTTCTTCATCAATTATCTGAAAGATGGTTACAATAATGATGAACAACTTGTGAGTGAATAACACAGTTTGTATTAATATATCCCAAATATATTTTAATTTCAACCATAAAAAGATTTTAGCTTTTGTTAAAAAATGGGGAAGTTTGAGATTTCATCCTTTATTTTGCTTTTTTATTGTCATCCTTTTTTTAAACTAGTGAATAATCATGCCTCATTTGGAGCTTACTTTCAGTTTATAGGATCTTCATAGCTCCCTCGGGATTTTAGGTTCAAATTGGTAGACTCATGGCATATCTTCACAATCATAGGAGGCTTTTTAAACTGTATGTTCTTGAGAATTCTTGGAATATCTTGCTCACCTTCTATTTCTAGGTAAATCAGAAACTATTCTCTAATATCTAATAGTTTCAGATTGAGGCATATCTTAGTCTATTTTCATTTTCAGAGTCTCTGGAATTTAGAATGCTACTCATGGTTAAAGATAAAAGCCTGAAACTCCTATTGCTTGGCAGATATAAATTGAGTATGATCAGATTGGTAACTGAAATAATGAAATCTACAACAGGGAATGTTAATTTGAGAGAAATTATGCATTTTGTTTTCAACTTCTAATTAAATATGTACAAAACTGAATGGCAAAAATAGCTAATCTCTGTACAAATATTAACAAAAATGGAAAAATAAATTCAGCAAGAAAAAAAGAACTTTGTTCACTACTAATGGGTTACATTTTTAAAAATAAACAAGTTAATGATACATTTATTTTGTGAAAACTTTTCTTTGAGCATATGCTTATCCCATGTTGACTCCAGAAATATTGCGAAATATTTATTTTCCAATACTCTGAGTCCTGAATTCTATATTACAGAACTGAGGAAGTATTAAAGGTATAGTGTAATCCCATGACTCAAATGAGGGATTTCTCCAGCTGTAGAACATTTCCTGAATGTTCACACTAACTCTAACATCAGGAACTCCATAATTTTGTGCTCCTTGGAAACAATTTTTACAATGTGTGGTTACTGAAAAAAATAGTTAATATGAAATAAAGGGGCAACTGTATACAGTAAAATGCAAATAAAACATATCTATTTTCTTTAAGTGGTAGACTTTGAATTATCTCTAACTGTGCTGTTCAGTAGGGCATTTCATAGCCACATGTGAATTTACTTTAATTCAATGTAATTTAAATGTAAAATTCAATTCCTTAGTTGCACTAGCCTCATTTCAAGTATTTAATAGCCTCATTGGACTACGGAGATAAATATTCCCATCATTGCAGAAACTTGTTGGTCAGCTTTGATCTATAACACATACAACTATACATGATTTCACAAGCTTACTACTTAGTGATTACTTAAGACTAATTATAATTACTTATTATGGTTATAATTATTACTAAGTTATTACTTATTACTGATAATTATAAAATCTTTCCAATGCTTACAGAAACCGTGTTGTCCCGTATTTGAGAAGGTTTTGATCTCCTTTTGGTTCCTGGCCGTTGTGGTTTGGGAAATAACAGGGCAAAGTGTTGCTGATTCCATGATTTTTTGCTTAATTCACTGACTAAAATAAGGGAGACAAAAAACACATTTTGGAGTGAATAGAATTCCATCAGAGCTGAAATGGCATTACGTGCAACGTATATCATGTAAATGAATAAACAAGTGATTCAAATTATGACTTCATTTATTTGGTAATGTTTGCAATTTTCTGTTATCAATATGAGAAAATAAAAATTGATTTTTCTATTTTGAGCAGTTTTACAGATGACTGTATAAAGTAGTCATTGCAAAACTAGCATAACTATAATATAAATGGAAAGACTCAGTTTTACTGCTTCCTTTTAAATCTATCTCTTCCAGTCTAGGTTTTTGCTTTATGCTTTTGGTTAGTATACAATTTTATTATAACAGAAAATAACTACTTCTGTAGCTCCCATAGTACTTAGCACAATGCCAGCATAAATATTCAGTAAATACATGATTTAATCTAAGTGCTAAGACTTAAGATCCCCTTAGTTAGTAACAACTTTCCAAGCTACAAGAGTAAATGCAGCCAGGCGCGGTGGCTCACGCCTGTAATCCCAGCACTTTGGGAAGCCGAGGTGGGCTGATCACGAGGTCAGGAGATCGAGACCATCCTGGCTAACACGGTGAAACCCCGTCTCTACTAAAAACCAGGTGTGGTGGCAGGCGCCTGTAGTCTCAGCTACTCAGGAGGCTGAGGCAGGAGAATGGTGTGAACCCAGGAGGCAGAGCTTGCAGTGAGCCCAGATCATGCCACTGCACTCCAGCTTGAGCGACAGAGCAAGACTCTGTCTCAAAAAAAAAAAAAAAAAAAAAAAAAAGGGGGCAAATGCTATACACCCAAGAATGGTATCGTTATAGGTGACATATTTTGTAAAGGAAAATGACAAAAAGCCTACAGAATGGTGACTGGGTAGGTGAAGTCATCTGAAAACTATAATACAAATGATTAAAGTTATTTAAGTTGCCAATGAGGCCAATGAGAGATTTCATCTTTGTATTTAGACACATGCAGCATTAATGTGTGGAAATAATAGACATTTCCTATGAGTTTTCTAAAGAAAATAGGAACAATGGGAAAAATGTACAGAAAAAAATTATATTTAGGCTCAGTATCTGAGGGGAAAATACTTGATATTTGAAGTTCTTCAAAATCAAATACCTTTGCCTTGTCTAGTAAAGAAATTTGGGGCCAATTATAAGCTGGTTATAATCTATCAGGAATGTTGTAGAAGAAATTCCTGACATAAACAAGAAGTTATTTATCCAATTTCTACATTGCTTTTCAACTGTAAGATTATCTGATTGTATGACTTCTAACATGTAACTATTTCCGGCTTTCATATACTGAGCATGTTTACTTAAACTTCCTTGGATTCAAAACAAAGCAAAACATATATTAAAGGTGTTCACTGGGCCTGTAAGAAAGGTTCCTTGGGAAATAGTTAATTATCAATTTTATTCCATGGCAATGTTTGCTTTATCACTTTGAATAGAGGATAATACTTACCATAAAATTAAGCACACCTGTTTTGTAATAAATATTGAATGCTTTCTTACCTGGAATGTAATTATCATATGGCCCAAAGTTTACTCTTTGGCTATTAAAACAAAAAAGAAAGGTTTTAGTTAATTTATATAAAAATCACTGTTTTAAACTGTCATTATTTTACTCCAGTACCTGCAACCAACAACTAGAGAAATATTTCACAATCTCAGATATCTTTTGTTATATAAGATTACTTCATCTCCAGGATAATAGAGATGAGCAAATGTGTTTTCAAATTACAACAGTACTAAATAATGGTCGATCAAACAAACTATATATACATACATGTATCACATATATGTGTGTATATTTTCAGATGTGCAATTTGTTTATATGTATTGTGTGTGTATAAGCAAATTGCACATCTGAAAATATACATTTAAAAAAATTACAAAAACACAGTTGAATTATTTTTCCCAGTTCATGCTCCAAATTCTCTCTTAATTGAATTTGAAACAAGGTATCACTTTGTAAACTCTACGCTTATGTAAAAGCATATCCTCAAAATAGTCTCAAAAAACTCCACCAAATCCAAATTATTAAATGGCCTATATGTGCACCTGTGAATTTGTGTGTGCATGTGTATATGTCAGTGTGGACCACAAAAATTCGTAAGGAATTTCATTACTTTTTAAAGAAAATCTGAAAAAGAAACTATATTGCAAATTGTTTTCCATTTGTAGGTTCCCATTTGTTTTATTACTATCTTAACATGTTTGTTCCCACGAAGGAGTGTTTTACGATCTAATTTTTATTTATTGGTGATGGAGACCAATCCTAAGATCTATTAGAGAAATATTATTTTACATTGTTTCATTATATTTTGGATATAGAGCCATCGTTGGTCATGAGTGAGTTTGAGGCTTTTGTGCTCATACACAAACACACACGTGGTGTTTATTTGACAGCGTGTAAAACTTAAGGTTTAAGCATAGAAAAGCAGTATCTTGATACCTTGACTAAAGAATGAAGCTAGCAGCATAAAACGTGGCACATTTTTTCGTGCTATAAAAATTTGTATTAGCTGAATAATATTTAATATGTTTTCACCAATAAGTTATCCAGCCTATCATTTTCTTAAACTGAGTACATGCACCAAAATTACTTGCCCCATCATATCTGAATCTCTAAATTCAGATCCAGTCAAAGTACATTTATATACTACAGAAGAAATGTTGATACCCAACAATGATTATGAACTGCATTATTCCAAATGCTCTCGAAGAGGAAAGATTTTAAGTTCATGAAACACTATTAAACTTGATATTTTCAAAATAGATTTTCAAAATAGAATGATCTGTTAATTTCTTCTATAATTGCTAGGACATATTATTTAATCACCCAGCAATTGAATTTGAAATCAATAATAAAATTATCTAGACAATATATAAATATTTGAAAATTAAACAGCTCCTTTTAAAGAACCAGTGGTCCAAAAGAGATCACAATGAAAACCTATTTAAAAAGAAGCAACTGAACAATAAGATAATTATGAAAATGATAGAATACTGCTTAAAAGTTCATAGAGAATAACTTACAGTTTTAATATTTTATATTATAAAAAATGTTTAAAATCAATGTTTTACATCTCTCCATTGAAACTAGGAAAACAATATAAGAAAAGAAGTAGAGGAGGAGTAAGTATGTTTCAACTCATTTTCAAGGCTAATATAAATAACCCAAATCCTTTTGAGGTCAATTCTAAAAATGCATATTACAGATGAATATCCCACATTATTATAGACACATAATTTCTTAAAATTTAAAAAATCATACTGACAAACATATAAAATTGCTAATACATCATGATCATCTGGTTTACTTTCCAGAATATGAGGTTGGTTTGACCTAAAATCAACCAATGCAATCATTCCAATTGACAAAATAAATAAGAAAAATCATCTGATCATTTCAGTATATGCAGAATAATTTTTGAAAGAAAGTAATATGCATTCGTAATTAAAAAGTCAGAGAAAACCAGCAATAGAGAACATAGCCCACAGATTGATAGAATACATCTAGATAATGCCTGTTTTTAAAATTAAACTTATTGGAGGAATATTGACTGTCTTTCCTTAAAAATCAGAAACAAGGCAAAGATAAACCTACTGTATCTATTCAGCATTTAAATCCAGATCCTATTTTGTTTCATAAAGCAATAAAAGCACTAAGATTGAAAAGGAAGAAGTAAAATTGTCTTTATTTGTAGAGGATACAGTTGGGTAAATATGATATCCAGTGACATCTATAATAATAACTGTTAAAGCTGCCAATCAAATGTAATAAGTTTATATGATACAGAGTTTAATGAATTATACTAGTTTAATGATTATATGATAAATAGTTTAAATGAAGTATATTTCTATATACCAGCAAAATTAGAAGATAAAAATTTAGGAAAATTAATTAAAACTTGAAATAACACAAAAGCAAATTATACAGAAACAAGTTATTAAAATACATATAAAAGCTGCATAAGTGAATTAAAACTTTTCCTCTAGGAAATAAAGAAAAGGAAGAAAACAAAAGTCCACAGAAAGACTTAGACAAAAATGTTCATAGCAATTTTATTCACAATAACCTCAAACTAAAAGCAACTCAAGTGTCCATCAACAAAGGAATGGATAAACTAAGTGTGCTATGTAAATGTAATGGAATACTTCTTAGCAATCGAAAGGAATAAATTACTTATATGTGCAATATAGAAACTTTAATGAATACAAAGGAATATTATATTGAAAGAAAAAGTCCAGAAATACTAGCACATACACAATATAATTTTATTGTATTCACTTCAAAAATAAGGAAGACTCTATAGGGTAACTGAACAGTCATTGGTTGGAGAAAAGCAAGTTGGATTGACTGGAATCTGTCATAATGTATCTTTTTTGTGTGATCAAAGTTTTCTATGTATTTCTTAGTGTTTATGAGATTAGAGTTAGTGACAGTTCAATACATTTTAACCTCTTGCATTTTTAGTAAGAATCATTTATAGGAACCCAAACAGCAATAAACCAAATACCCTTGCCCCTACTGACTATGCAAATGTGTGTGATAAGCAATTAAAGCAATTTGATCTTTTGGATTTGATAGCACTTTCCCACTCTTTAAGTCTGGCTTTGCTGGTGAGAGCATCTCTTTCCTTTCCTCTCTGGTACAGTCAAGTAATTATCTAGGTCAGGGTGCATTTGCATTCAATTTTTGACATTCTTATTAAAGAAACTTACAAACTGTCTTATTGAAAATAAACTTAGTATATCCCTTATTTTTATTTTGAGATATATTTATATGAATGTAAATGTATTTTCACAATTTTAAATTAAATCCATAAGATCTAATTTAATGACTTAACCTAAGAAGAGGGAAAAATGATTATTAAGTCAAAAGGTTGTTGTTGTTTTTTAATAGGACTAATGCTTAAATTAAATTAAAGTGTCTGGTTATATATAAGGAAACACAGTAATTAAGGCCTCATATTTACCAAGATTAAATGGCATGTAGAAGCTAAAATTCCACCTTCACTTCAAGCTTATATATTCAGTCACTTCAAAATCATTTTCAGTAACTGTGCATGTTCTGAGGTAAAGGTTTCCCATTGTCAACAATGTAGAATATAATGTATTTGAAACTTTGAAAAGAAAACTAGGATTAAGTTTTCTGAAATAAAAAGTAGAGAAGCAAGAGACATGGGGGACTTTATTTCTTAAGAGAAAAATCTATTTCTATTCTATCACCATAAAAAATTTTTTTCAGGGGTAAACCTTTAACCAAGTTTGTTTTTCTGATTATTTTTCCTTTTAGTCTGGGTTATATTTTAATCTAAATACAAAATCCACCCATCTTTCCTCTTGCCTGTAACTGTATCTCTGCTTAGATGTGTTTTAAAAATATATAGTGGATTCAAAGTCAAAGGATTTAAATGATATATCTTCCCAAGTTACATGTGAGTTGTTCATAGACCTCCTGATTGTATGCATATTGCCAGATATCTTGCTAGTAGACTAGATTTTTGGAATCTGCATCAGCTGCAGGGAAAAGAAGACCATAAAAGACATGGTAGAAAGTTTTCTAGGAACTGACTGCAGCCTGAGCTTCTCTTCTTGTATTTGCTAGAGGAGTCTCTGTGTAAAGGCAAGGTCAACTGCCCCAGGATTACTGTCTTGCTGAGGAATGGCTCTGTGTGTAGTAAGATTCTCTGTCTTTCTCTAGCATTTTCTGAAGCAGTGTTTCTTAGCATGGATTTATTTCGAACTCCTCACCCAGAGAATATTTTGCAATGTCTGAAGACATTTTCCTTGTCACAATTGTCTATGTGTATGTGCGTGTGATGATACTAGCATCTAGTTGGTAGAGACCAGGGATACTGTTAAAAATATTATAATGCATCTTACAATGGACAGAATGCTGGATCTCCCCTACCCCCAGCACCTACTAATCCTCTATTCCAACAAAAAGTTTTCTAGACTACGATGTGAGTGGTGCCAGGATTTATAAAACCTTGTCTACATCAAGGTGAATCCCTAGACCAGGATAGTAAGAGACGACTTTAGTAATGCTACTCAATAGAGAGAAAAACATAAAATATACATTAGATACGAGATTGGGAAGCTAATATTGGAATTTTAAATGTTCATATATTTAGATACCCTATCTCACACCAAATTTTTGTGATAACCTCTCCTACCTGTTTCAGAAATCTTAGTTCTATTCAACATTATAAATGGGCTGAGTTGACTAACACAACCTAAATTTGAGGCCAAGGCCAGAAGTGATGAAACTATTAAATGGTATAGTTGAGGTTTGGATAGAGCAAAGGTATTAGAGAAGGAATAAGTGGGAAAGGAAAAACTGAGTTCAAACAGAAAAATTTTCTTTATCACATACAAGTTGATAGCCATAGGCACAGAAATGTTAAGTCCAAAACTAAGGCTCTGCCATCCTTAGAAGAATTCAGTGAAAAGACAAATGGAGTCGAAAATTAATTTTCTGCATCTTAAATTTTGCGTGTTCAATGAATTGGGAGCTGTCACTTGAACTCAAAGAAATATGCTAATTTGTTATTAAGAATTTTTATGTATGCTTTTCTGGCTAATGGTGAGGCCATTTGATTATGATTTCTATCAGTTTCCTCCTACAAAAACCAGAATGTTTTGGGATTACACTAGAATAACACCATAAAAAATAGCCATAAGACCAAAAAGAGGTTTCTAACCATTGTGGTCAAGTTCTCTGAAAGCTATTTGATGCTCATGATAACAATAATACCATCGATATTTTACAGTGCTTATATATTTGAAAGTAATTAAAATACAGTGTAATTCTGCCATGTTAGGTGCCAGAACATAGATTTTTGCATAGTAGGCATCAATTTACTCAGCTTCTAAAGTAATCATGACAAATGCATTTAAACCTTTACCAAAAATTATACTTTAATGATTGTTTTATAACAAAATGGGCACCAGTATCTATGGAAAGCCTATTTTATTTTTAATATTCATGTTTTATCTTTCCTTTAACAATACTGCTAAATTAAGGCCCACCCATACTTTATATTACAAAACTCCATTCCTTCACCTTTGTTGCATGTCCTCTGTAAAAGGGTTTACAGAATTGAAACGTGCTCTTTACCTACCTTATTTTGACACAGAATAAATTAAGCATAAGTAAACTACTGTCATATAACTTCTCATGTCTGGATTATATGCTTTACATTACAAAGTACTTCCACATACTCAATATTTTGCAAGAGGGATACCACTAGTATTCAGTTGGTCACATTTGGATAGAGCTGCCCCACTTTTTACTAAAGGTTAACACTGCGATATAATGCCTCCTCTAAAATTCAGTCACACTCCTCAGTCACTATTACATACACAAAAAATATTCACAGAAATTTCCAAGGTGGTTCCCTGACTGAAAATCATGAATTATTTTATTTTATATTACTCAAAATGCAATGTGATAAAAAAATCAAGTAAGACTAGCAGTAAAAAAACAAACAAAAAAGACTTATCCAAAGCCAGGTATCTATTTTACTGAAATGCATGCACTAGCTATGTCTTAAATCAAAAAAATCTATTATGTTGCTTGAGAATCTTTGTCTGCTTAAACACATTATCTTTTGCTTATGAATGGCATCATAATAATATAATAAATATCTCTTCATACTAAAGAAGTTAAATGTAAAGCTAACGAGTATTTCAGTTATTTTAAAACATAAAATTTGACTTACAATCTTGGGAGAGACATTTTCCCCACTTATGACTTGCCAGGACTTAAGTATTGTAAGTTCAAACTGGTGATGTTGAAAGGTGACATCATAAAGAAGCCAAGAGCACTTGGAATTAAAGGGGTAAAACAAAAGGAGTCACTTGTGTTTTTATGTTCTCTAAAATTCTAAGATTAATATTTACTTTCACTTATTACTGACTAAATCTAGCTAGGAGTTTTAAAAGTAATCAATTGATTTTACACTTTAATAAAATATTTGTTTTATTTTTTTCATGTAATTGTAATTTATTGACTGATATGGAAAAAAGGTAAGTCTAAACATTTATCTGTGAGGATCAGCTGTAATCCTAAATTCCCTTTCATTCCTGTAACTTTTGTTAAATCAATGCATAACTTTACATGTCTTTCTCTCATCTTAAACGTATTGTTTTCTCATACATAGAATATTTTAAACAAAGCTATATGCTTTTTAAACTTATAAATATATGAGTTAGTACATTTTTATTAAACTCATAATCTTACCCCACTAATAAATGAATACTAGTACTATATAGAGAGGCATTTAAACATGTTGCTCTTATTTAGCTCTTTTTAAAATATCTTAGCTATTTTTTGTCTTAAGAAATAATTTTATTAAATATAAGCTTCTATAAGGGGTAAACTACAGAAATATTAGTAGTTTGACTCAAAGTTTCTAGCTGATCTTACACAATGATAAATTATAGAGGCATTGGAGCTGGGATGGGAGCCTTTCCATAATTTAGATTTCTGTGATCTGATTACTTCACTATCTGACTTAATGAGAATATCTACTGAAGTTTTCCTGAAAAGTGATAGTTTAATAAGTAAAGTATAATGTCTAATTCTATAATATTTTGTTGAGCATTTTATAGTCTATAGTGGCTTTTGAAAATATTAATCTCTAATGCATTGACTCTATCATCATACATTAAAATCTAAATAATGACTGGGCAACAGGCAATACTTGCCTTCTGCATTATCATCTCTTTAATTAATCTCTTATTGTCATTCTTAATTAAATGTGTATGATCTAGTAATATCTTAGCCAATGATATTTTTATAATGAGCATGTGTCAGTCTTCTATTGCTACATAGCAAATTATTACAAATTGAAGACATAAAACAATACTCAATTTTTATCTCATAATTTTATAATTCAAAAGCTTAGGCAGGTTTAACTAGGTCCTCTGCTTAGGGTCTCACAAGACTGAAATCAAATTGTCAGCTGAACTGTGTCTTACCTGGAGACTCAAAGAAAGAATCAGTGCCTAAGCACATTTCAGCTGGTGGAATTTAAGTCCTTGTGGCAGTAATTCTGATATCTCTGTTTTCTTCCTTGCTGTCAGCTATGAGCTGCTTTCTGTGCTTAGAAACTGCCTAAGTTCCTTCTCAAATACATCCCCCTACATCTTCAAACCTGAAATATTTCATGGAGTCCTCATAGTTAAATCAGTCTTATCTTTTTTCAGCCTTCCTAACCACTATCAGTTGAGGAAAACCTTTGTTTCCTAAAGGGCTCAAATGCTTAGATTCAAGCAACCTAGATAATGTATTTAACTTAAGGATCAATTGTACTTCATAATGTAGCATATAATGGGAATGCTATCTCCTGTTATTCACAAATTCTGCCCACACTCTGAAGTTGTTGGGAGCCTTAAAATTTTGCCTACAACATATCAAATATTAAGACTAAAAGTCTACTATAGAATATGAGGATTAATAGAAATATATCAAAATATACTAGCCATATATTTATATATATCAGCCATATAAATATATATATAATATCTTTAGATATTGCTAATGTCTATCCAGCATCAGCACTATAACCATATATTAATGTTTTTGTGGTTGTTTTTAAGCTTAGAAATCATGTCTTCAAACATAAATATTCTACTTTATAAATGTGTATATATACACATTTTTAGTGTTTTAAAGATTATACAGTTATTTGTATACATTAACTCATTTTTTCTATAATAACAATGTAAAGGTTAGGGGAGGTTGTCCTTGAACAAGATATATTTCCTAAGAATTTGCAATACGTTATTAACTCAGAAACATGGCTTATAATTTCATCCTTAAAATCAATATGTATAATTGTAGATTCTTCAAGCTTGTAATAATTTCAGTGAATCTGTGTTTCACATATTTATGTAGCATGTGCATATATAATGTGTCTATATGTATGATTTGTATATCTACTTATTAATCTGTCTTTCTATTCATGTATCATCAATTTATCTCCCTCTGTTTCACAAAAGATTTCAGACAATAAAAAGGGTATATAAATGTAGAAATCACCTTATTAAATGCATTCTAAGACATTTTACACAGTATAATACTTTGTATCATTTCCAAAAGTTTTATTTATAATTGACATGTAATAATTGTACATATGTATGGGGTACAGTTGTGGGTTTTCAATGCATGTATATATTGTATAATAATCAAACCACGGTAATTAGCACGTTCGTCACTTTAAACATTTATTATTTGTGGTGATCACATTTGTATTAGTCCATGCTTGTGTTGCTATAAAGAAATACCTGAGACTGAGTAATTTATAGAGAAAAGAGGTTTAATTGGCACACAGTTCTGCAGGCTGTACAGGAAGCATGATACTGGAATCTGTTTGGATTCTGAGTAGTCCTCAGAAAACTTGAAGTCATGGTGGAAGGCAAAGTGGGAGCAGGCATGTCACATGGCCAGAGCAGGAGCAACAGGTCGTGGGGGTGTGGGTACTACACACTTTAAAACAATCAGATCTCACGAGAATTCACTCGCTATCATGAGACCAGCACCAAGGGGATAGTGCTAAACTATCTGAGAAATCCACTCCCATGTCCAGTTACCTCCCGCCAAACCCCACCTATAACACTGGGGATTACAATTCAACATGAGCTTCAGTGGAGGCACAGATCCAAACCACACCAACATTCAAATATTTTCTTCTAACTACCTTAAAATACGTAATACAGTATTATTTGCTATAGTCACCCCACTGTGTAATAGAACACCATAACTTATTTTCATGTCTAATTTTGTACCTATTGACCAACTTCTCCCATATCTCCCTTTCGCTATTCTCCCCAGCCTCTGGTAACCATTATTCTACTCCTCACTTCTGTGAGATCATCTTGTGTTAGATTCCACAAATGAGTGACATCATTCAGAGTTTATATTTCTGTGCCTGGCTTATTTCTCTTGGCAAAATGTCATCCAGGTTCACGCATGTTATTATAACAAGATGAGATTTCACTGTGTTTTATGGCAAATAGTATTAGTATTTGAGGCTTAATGGAAATATATCTGCCTCATATATATAATTTTTATGATATCTTAAGATATTGCCAATGTCTATCCAGCTTCAACACTACAATAACACAGAAGTATTTTGTGGTTGTTTTGAGCTTAGTAACTATGTCTTCAAGCATAAATATTCTAGTTTTTAAATGTATATGTGTATATATGTAAGTGTTTTATAGTTTATAATTTGTGTTTACTGAGTCTTTTTTATGATAACACAGTAAAAAGGTGCAATAGACATGGAAGTGCAGATATGTCTTTGACATACTTATTTTATTTTATTTGGCTATTTGCTCAGTAATGGAATTGCTGTATTGTATGATGGTTCTATTTTTACTTTTTTGAGGAACCTCCATACTGTTGTATGTAATGGCTATAGTAATCTACATTTCTACCAACAATGTGCCCTTCATCCACATTCTCACCAGCATTTGGTAGGTTTTGTTGTTTTAATGATAGCCGTTATAACTGTGGTGAGGTGATATCTCATTGTCATTTTGATTTGCAAGAGCAGTTTTTTCATATACCTGTTTGCCATTTGTATGTATTAAGAAATGTCTATTTAGGTACTTTGCCCATGTTTATATCAAACTATTTCATTTTATTTTATTAACTTGTTTGAGTTTCTTATGTATCTTGGATATGAACCCCTTGTAGGATATATACTTTTTAACTTCTGTAGGTTGTTTCTACTTTATTGATTGTTTCATTTATCTTGCAGAAGCTTTTTAATTTGATGCAATCCCATTTGTCTATTTTTGCTTTTCTTGCCTGTGATTTTGAGGTCTTAAACAAAAAATCATTGTTCAGTCCAGGTTTGTGAATTTTTTTCTCTGTTTTCTTCTAGTAATTTCATAGTTTTGGGTTTCATAGTTTTGGGTCTTTTTTTTTAAGTCTTCAATGGATTTAGAGTTGATTTTTCTTTATGGTGAGAAGTAGGGAGTGTAGTTGCATTCCCTCTGCCTGTAGAATATCCAGTTTTCCCAGCACTATTTATTGAAGAGACTGACCATTCCCCAATGCGTTTTCCTAGTGCGTTTTTCAAAAATAGGTTGGCTGTAAGTACATGCATTTATTTCTAGGTTTGTTTGTCTTCGTTTCAATGGCTATGTGTCTGTTTTATGCTAGCAGCATACTACTTTTGATACTGTAGCTTTGTAGTGTGTCTTGAAGTCAGATAGTATAATGCCTCCAGATTTGTTCTTTTTGTTCAAGATTTCTTTAGCTATCCAGGATCTTTTGCATTTCTATACAAAGCTTATGATTGTTTTTCTATTTCTGTGAAAGATGCCATTGGTATTTTGATGAATATTATATTGAATGTATGCTATTTGGGGTAATATGAACATTTGAAGAATACTAATTCTTTAAATCTATGAACACTGGGTATCTTCCCATTTATTTGTGTTTTCTTCATTTTCCTTCATTAGTGTTTTATAGTTTACATTGTAGCGATCATTCAACTCCTTAAGTTTTTCCCTTTTTATTTTGTTTCATTTCATTTGTTGCTATTGCTTTCATGATTTATTTTTTTAGATGAATCGCTATTGGCATACACAGATGATACTTATTTTTGTCTGTTGATTTTGTATCCTGCCACTTTACTAAGTGTATGTGTTACTTCTAACAGTTTTTGATAGAGTCTTTAGGGTTTTCTGCATATATGATCATGTTGTTTGCAAAGAGGGAAAATTTGACATCTCCTTTCTAATTTGAATGACCTTTATTTCTTTCTGTTGTCTGATTTCTCTGTCTAGAACTTCAAATAAAAGGGGTAAAATTGGTATCTTGTTTCAGATCTTAGAGAAAAATCTTTTAAGTTTTCCCCATTCAGAATGATATGAGCTGTGGGTTTGTCGTATATGGGTTTTACTGTATTAAGGTATGCTCCTTCTATACCTAATTTGTTGAGAGTTTTTATCATGAAAGGATGTTAAATTTTATCAAACCCTTTTTCAGCATCTATTAAAATAATCACATGGTTGTTGTCCTCGATTCTGTTAATGTCATGTGTCACATTAATTTGAATATGTTGAACCACACTTACATCCCTGGAATAAAACCCTCTTGATTATGGTAAATGATCTTTTAATGTATTATTAAATTTAGTTTGCTAGTATTTTGTTGAAGATTTTTGCATCTATGTTTATGACGAATATTGGCCTGTAGTCATTTTGTTGTTGTGTACTTGCCGGCCTTGTAGAATTAGTTTGGAAATATTCTCATCTCATCACTTTTTTTGAAATAGTTTGAGTAGAATTGGTTTTGGTTCTTTAAATATTTGGTAGAATTCATCAGTGAAGTTGTCAAGTCCTGGGCTTTTCTTTGGTAGGAGACCTTATAAATGCTTTGATCTTGTTACTCATTATTGGTCTGTTTAGGTTTGGGATTTCTTAATGATTCAATATTGGTAAATTGCATGTGCCCAGGAATTTATTCATTTCTTCTATGTTTTGCAATTTTTTGGCATATAGTTTATTACAATAGTCTCGTACGGTCCTTTGTATTTCTGTGGTTTCAGTTATTATGTCTCTTTTTTTAATCTGACTTAACTTGAGTCATCTCTCTCTCTCTTTTTTAGTTAATCTAACTAAAGCTTTGCCAATTTTGTTTATCTTCTCAAAATATCAGCTTTTTCTTTTATTGATCTTTTGTAGCGGGTTTTTTTTTGTCTCTATTTTATTTATGTCTGCTCTGGTCTTTATTATTTCTTCTACTTATTTTGGTTTAGGTTATTCTGGGTTTCCTAGTTCCCTGAGGTGTAATTTTAGATTCTAAATTTGAGATCTTTCTACTTTTTTGAGGCAGTCATTTATTACTATAAACTTCTTCCTTAGAACTATAAAACTTCTTTTGCAGTATCCTATCGATTTTGGTATGATGTTTTTCCATTTTCATTCGTTTCACATTTTTTTAATATCTTTTCTTTTCTTTCTTTCTTTTTTTTTTTTTTTTTTTTGAGATGGAGTTCTGCTCTTGTTGCCCAAGCTGGAGTGCAATGGCGCTATCTCAGCTCACTGCAACCTCTGCCTCCTGGGTTCAAGCAATTCTCTTGCCTCAGCCTCCCGCATAGCTGGGATTACAGGCATGCACCACCATGCCCAGCTAATTTTTTGTATTTTTAGTAGAAACGGGGTTTTACCACATTGTCCAGGCTGGTCTTTAACTCCTGACCTCAGGTGATTCCCCTGCCTTGGCCTCCCAAAGTGCTGGGATTACAGGCATGAGCCACCACACCCAGCCCTTATATTTTCTTTTTAATTCTTTTGTTGACCCATTAAGCATATTGGTTGATTTCCATGTACTTTTGCAGTTTCCAAAGTTCTTTTATTTATTGATTTCTAGTTGTACTCCATTGTGATCAGAAAAGATACTTGATAAGACTTCAATGTTTTTAAATTTGTTAAGACTTGTTTTGCGAACTAACACATGATCTCTCCTGGGTAATGTTTCTTGTGCTTTTGAGAAAAATGTGTACTCTGCAGCTATCAGATGGAATGTTTTGTAAATGTCTGTTAGGTTCATTTGGTCTAATGTGAAGTTTAACCCTGATACATCTTTGCTAATTTTCTGTCTGGATAATCTGTACAATGCAAAAAAAAAAAAAAAAAAGGTGATGTTGAAGTTCCCCACTATTATTGTATTGCAGTCAATTTCTCCCATTAATTCTGTTAATATTTCTTATATACTTAGGTGCTTCAGTGTTGGGGACATATATATTTACAAGCGTTATATCCTCTTGTTGTATTGGCCCATTTATCATTATATAATGGTTTTATTTGTACTTTTGAAAACCATTTTTGGACTTAAAGTTTATGTTATCTGATTATGATATGCAGTAGTATTACAACTACTGCACTCTTTTAATTTTCATTTACATAGAATACCTTCTTCCATTCTTTCACTTTCAGTATATGAGTGTCTTTGTAGGTTAAATGAGTTTCTCATCACTTGAGAAACACATTAAATTATAAAGAACAATGTCAAAAAGCATTTCCTCTATTTTTCTTCTAGTCAATATACAATTTCAGGTATTACATTTCAATCTTTCATTCATTTTAAGTTGATATTTTATATAGGGTGAGACAAATGTCCATTTTCAATATTATGCATATTCAGTTTAACAAATAACATTTTTTAAAGAGACCATATTTTACCCATCGCATATTTGTGGTACCCAGGTCATAGATTGGTTGAGTTTATATTAATATGTGTGGCTTTATTTCTGTGTTCCTTATTCTGTCCCATTAGTCTATATGTCTTTTTTTGATGCTAGTACCATGCTTTTACTTACTAAAAGTTGGTTTTATGTATGTATACATACATATATTTCATATTTTTTGTTTCAACAGCCTTTGGGGTACAAATGGCTTTTGGTTACATGGATGGATCCTATAAGGCCGAATTCTGAGATTTTAGTGCACCCACTAGCCAAGTAGTGTATGCTGTACCCAATGTGTAGGCTTTTATTTCTCACCCCCATCCCAATCTCTCTCTCCCAAGTCTCTGGAGTTCATTACATCACTCTTTATGTCTCTGCGTTTTCATAGTTTAGCTCACAATTATAAGTGAGAACATGCAATATTTGGTTTTCCGTTCCTGAGTTATTTCACTTAGAATAATGGCCTCCAGCTCCATCCAAGTTATTGAAAAGGACATTATTTCATTCATTTTTATGACTGGGTACTATTTCATTTTATATATATATATATATATATATATATATCTCACATTTTCTTTACCTGTTCAATTTGTTGATGTGCACTTAGGTTTGTCCCATGTCTTTGCAATTGTGAATTGTGCTGCTATAAACAAGTGTGTGCATATGTCCTTTTCATAAAAGGCCTCTTTTCCTTTGGGTAGATACCTACTAGTGGGTTTGCTAGATTAAACGGTAGATCTACTTTTAGTTCTTTAAGGACTCTCAATACTGTTTCTCATAGAGGTTATGCTAATTTAAACTTCTACCAGCAGTGTAACAGTATTCCCTTTTCACCATATCCATGCCAACATCTATTGTTTTTTGACTTTCTAATTATGACCGTATTTATAGGAGTAAGGTGGGATCTCACTGTGGTTTTCATTTGCATTTCCCTGATGATTAGTGATGGTGAGCATTTTTTCATGTTTGTTGTAGCTACGGTGGGTGGGTAGTTGCAATACCCAGTGGTGGGCAGAGATCGCTGTCTTGATGAAGATGGCTGCAGGAGCCCAAGTTAGATGCACTGAAGTCTTATCAGGGTGAAAGGTGAGAGCTACTTCAGCTCCTCTGCCAGGCCAGCAGAAAAGCTATTCACTTCATGGTCTCACTTCTGCTGCAGTGTTCTGGCTATTACAGATCAGACAGGCACCTCTTTTCATCTATAGAAGTGTTAATGCTCCAAATAGAAAGGAACTGTGACTGCCTGTAATGCAAGCCTGAACCTGGAGAGTGCTCCTCCTGAGAAGCACTCACCCTGAAGTGTTTCAGGAAGGCTGCCTGTAAGTGCATCCATGCTGAGCTCCTGTGGGTTCTCCTGTGTCTGCAGTAGTGGTCAAAGGGTGAAAGACGAACCCTTCTCTAAGACCCTTCATGGTACCAAGGCTGCCTGACTGCTAGGGTAGAGGTGCAGACTTTCCTTGCTGAGCCCAGCACTGCCACTGTGTCTCTGCTATAAGAAAATTCCCACCAATGAAATGATCTGGGACCCAAGCCCTGCCATCCAGATTATTTGGTCCCGTGGGAGTTCCCTTGATGTGGTGCTCCCTCCCTTCTCCTGGCACTAGGAGTTCCTGACAGCCAGACTACAGTGACTGCTATTATTATTCTGAGTCAAGCCACCCAGTGGGGCTGCCACACCCCAGGCTGGTGCTGGGAAATATCTGCAAGGGATCTGGTGGTGTAACCTATCCTCAAGACTCCCAACAGTGGGAAGCAGCACCAATTCTAATAGGGGTGGCAGGGGAGTGATGTACACACTTTGAGATTCCTTGGTTGTAGAAAAGCTTAGCGTGCTGGCTTTCTTGAATGCTGGTTATAATAGTAGTGAACTTATCATGTAGACAGACCCAGAACCTTTGGTTATCTAGGGATTTGTAGGCAATAGTGATAGCTGAAGTTGCACACTCATTTTGTCCTTTCTAGGCACGGTGTCATTCTACCCAGAGATGCTGTAATTGACTGTGTAGGTTGGCTTCCAGAGAGAAGGTGGTGCTTGCAAAAAGCACCAGCTGCAGTAGTAGCAGTGAGATTTGAGCATACCCTTGCTTGCCCAGGGTGGGTATTGTGGTTCCTCAGGCAATGAGCAGAGCTATAAATCTCCCCCAATTTTATATCCTTTGTGTTAAGCTACCAGTGCAAGTGGAGGGCCAGATGGTGGCTAGGTCAGACAGCTCTGTAATCTGACCCTCCACATGCCAGGTAAGATGTGGCTCCTGTGTGTGTCAATGGCTAGTTCTCAGGCCTCTCAGGTAACGTTCCAGAGGGGAGTATAACTGTCTCTGCTGCACAGAAGAGTTTGCAAGGAGAGTGGAGAGGTAGCAGGCAGCAGTAAGTCTCACCCAGCTCCCAGGCGTTGGAAAGGCAAATCTCACTCCTGCAATGCTTCACTAGTAGCCCCAGGTTAAGATTCAGGCAGTCTGCACACAGAACTCAGACCTGCCCAGGCCATAAGCTTATAGCTACTATGGCTTTCAGGACATGCCCCTCCTTGTCTGACTACAATGCTGGGTGCTTAGCTTCTGTGCTTTTGTCTGCAGCACAATTCCTGCTCCCTCCCACTTTTCCCCTTTCAGATTCTGATCAACGGAGTTCATACCTACTTGAGATTATATCATGAATTTCAGCTGGGTGCTTCTTTCAAACTTCTACCCCTGTCTAAGCTAGTTGGCTTACTTCTCTGAGCTCCCTTCTGACATAAATAAGGAATGGCTTCCCTTGTTCCACACTGGAGATTAGGAATGCCTGCAAGGCATTCCTGCTGCTGCTTGTACTTTTATATTTTTCACTGTTCCCAAAATCAGCTCCAGTTCTGGGTAGGGCTATGGCCTTCTGTCATGACCACATTTTCTTGAGTAATAGTACTTAGACTCTTTCTATCCATGTTAATCTCACTTTTTTTTTTTTTTTTTGAGACAGAGTCTTGCTCTGTCGTCCAGGCTAGAGAGCAGTGGTGCAATCTCGGCTCACTTTAACCTCCGCCTTCCAGGTTCAAGTGATTCTCTTGCCTCATCCTCCTGAGTAGCTGGGATTACAGGCATGCGCCTCCACGCCCAGTTAATTTTTGTATTTTTAGTAGAGACGGGGCTTCACCATGTTGATCAGGTTGGTCTTGAACTCCTGACCTCGTAATCCACCCATCTCAGCCTCCCAAAGTGCAGAGATTACAGGCGTGAGCCACCGCACCTGGTCATTAATCTCTTTAATAAAAGGCCACAGCCTTGATTTTCTCTCCCAAACATCACATTTTATTCTTCATAACTTAACCAAGCAGAAAATTGTTCAAATATTTCCGTTCTGTTACCATTTAATTATAAGCTTCATCTTTAATTTCTTTATCTCTCCTCATACTTTACTATAAGCAGTTAAGAGAAACCATGTAGCACTCTAAATGCTTTGCTTACACATATATTTCTCCTGCCGGATATCCTACTTAATCACTCTTTAATTCTGCTTTCAACAAAGCATTAGTACATAAACACAATTCAGCTATGTTCGCTGCCACTTTCTAACAGGGATGACTTTTCCTCCAGTTTCCAATAAGACATTCCTGATTTTCAGGTAATATCTCCTTAGTATGACACTTTTCTGTTCATGTTTTTACTAGCATTCTCTTCACAATCACCTAAATAATCTGTACCAGCATTCTGTTCAGAATTACTTAGATAACCTCTAAAACTGAAGCTTTGTCTACAGGTCTCATTCTCTGAGTCTTCATTGGAATATTCTTTAATGCTCTGTTCACAGCAATACAGGATTTTCCCGCATTGACTTTAATATTGTTCAGCCTCCATCCATTACCCGGTTCCAAAGCCACTTTCACATTTTTAGGTATTTGTTATAGCAACACCTCACTTCTCTGGTACCAGTTTCTTAGACCATTTATGCTGCTATAACAAAATATTTGAGACTGGGTAATTTATAAAGAACAGAAATGTATTGGTTCACAGTTCTGGAGGCTGGGAAGCAACCTGCATCCATCAACAGATGAATGGATAAAAAAAAAAAAGGTACATATATACAATTGAGTATATCCAGCCACACACACAGACATACAAATGAGATTCTGTCATTTGCAACAACCTGAATGGAACTGGAGGTCATTATGTTTAGTAAAATTAACCAGGCACAGAAAGACAAACTTTGCATGTTCTCACTCCTTTGTGGGAGCTAAAAGTTAAAACAATTGAACTCATGTAGATAGAGAGTAGGATAGTTACCAGAGATTGGAAAGAGTAATGGGGATGGTGAGGGATGTTTAATGGGTACAAAATTATAGTTAGATAGAATGAATAAGATCTAGTATTTGATACTACAACAGGGTGACTACAGTCAACAATAATTTATTATACATTTAAAAATAACTAGAAAAGTATAACTGGATTATATGTAACACAAAGAAAGGATAAATGTTTGAGGGGAATGAATACCCCATTTTCCATGATGTGATTATTAGGCACTGCATGCCTTTATCAAAACAACTCACATACTCCATAAATATATACACCTACCATGTACCCACATAAATTAAATTTTTTTACCTACCATGTATTCACATGAATTAATTTTTAAAAAAATAATACTATCATCTCAAAAGATGGAGAAAAAAGTGTTTCATAAAACTTAACATACTTGCATGATAAAAATTCTCAACAATTTCGGTATAGAAGAAATATACCTAAACATAATAAAGACCATATATGGCAAGCTCACAGCTAACGTAATAGCAAAAAGCTGAGTGCTTTTCTTCTAAAATCAGGAACAAGATAGGGCACCCACTATCTTCACTTTTATGTGACATTATACTGGAAGTTTTAGTGAGAACATTTAGGCCAGAAAGAGAAATAAAAGGCATCCAAATAAGAAGGAAATAGAAAAATTGTGTCTTTCTGGAGATTGTATGATCTTATAAAGATAAACTATATAAACTATACAAATTTTATATATAACGTATTTATAAAATATTACATATGTATATTCTAGCATATAAAAATCTTATATATAGAATATTATCCTGTTTCTTGCTATGAGTCTGTTCAGGTTTTGAATTTCCTCATGGTTCAATCTTGGTCGGTTGTATGTCTAGATATCTGTCCATTTCTTTGAGATTTTGCAATTAGTTGGCATGCAGTTTATCATAGTAACCACTGATGATTTTTGGAATTTCTGTGGTGTCAGTTTTAATGTGTGTTTTTTCATCTCTGATTTTATTTATTTGGATCTTCTCTCTTTCTCTCTTAGTATCACTAAAAATTTAACAATTTTGTTTAACTTTTCAAAAAACCAACTTTTGTATCATTGATGTTTTGTATTGTTTTCTTCATTTCAATTTTATTTATTTATGCTCTAATCTTTATTAGTTCTTTTCTTCTATTAATTTTGGGCTTGGTTTGCCTGATGTATAAACCTATAAACTACATTACAATAGCAGAGTGAAGGAAAAATAATATACAAAGTAATTTTATAATTGCAGATAAAAACACTTACATGGCATACATTACTAGAGTTTACATGAAACCCTCAAAAGAGTATTGAGCTAAGCAACAAAACAGAGAATATGAAAAGACACAGAAAATATATTTTTATTATTCATACAGGTAAAGGACTTTAACATTTTCTTACTGTGGAAGGATTAGTCATAAACATCTCTGATGTAAATTAATGTATGTGTTGGTCCATTCCAGCTGCTATAGCAAAATATGTTAGACTGAGTAATTTATAAACAACAGACATTTATTAGTCACAGTTCTACAGACTGGAAAGTCTGAGATCAAGGTATCAGCATATTCTATGTGCTGAGGGCCCATTCCTCATAAATGATGACTAATTACTGGGTCCTCACTTGGTGGAAGGGGCAAAAAGACTTCCTCAAGTCTCTTGTATAAGGCTTAATAAGCTTTAAGCCTTGTACTAATTCAATTCATGAGGACATAATCTCATTCATGAAGGTGCCACCCTCATGACTTAATCACCTATTAAAGGCCTCACCTCTTATTATTATCACATTGAGGACTCACGTGCAACATAGGAATTTTGGAAGAACACCAACATTCAGACCATAGCATTCATCACTGAAATTCAAAATTATATATTCTCTTATATAAAATACAATCATTCCATTTCTACAGCCCCCAAAGTCTTAACTTGGCCTGGCATCAAAGTCTCATCTAAATATCATCTAAATCAGATTTGGGTGAGACCAAATATATGATTAATCCTAAGGCAAATTGCCCTCGAGCTGTGAACATGTGACATCAAACAAGTTGTGTACATCCAAATTACAATGGTAGGGCAGTCACAAGATAGCTATTTCCATGCTAAAAGAGAAAAGTGAAAGAGATTAAAGGGATGAAAGACCTCTACCAAATACAAAACTCAGTATGGCAAATATTAAATATTAAGGTTCCACAATATTCTTCTTCAACTGGAAGTCCCACCTTCTGGACACATTGGGGTGGGGATTGGGTCCCCAGTCCTCCAGGTGGACTTACTCCCGTGGCTTTGCTGGTCACGGCCCACATGTCAGCTCTCATGGGTTGGAGTGGCTTGCCTGCAGCTCTCCCAGGCTGGAGTTTTTTGCCAAAGGCTTTATGGGTCTGGGGTCACTGCAGCATCCTTGGTCCCACAGTTCTGCTAGACTTTGCCCTGCCCTGTGCTCTCTGCAGTATTGTTACAATAATATGCATCTTTTTTATTTGGGAATATTTCCTTATCACATATCAGAATCACTTGGAAGATTTGTTTAATACTGATTGATAGAACCTGTCTCCAGAGTTTCTGATTTATTGAGTCTGGGGTAGAGCTTGAGAATTTTCATTTCTAATGACTTGCTAGATGCAACTGATGCTCTCAGTGAAGAGACCACACTTTGAAAACTATTGCTTTAATCATACTGTTAGGAGTAGATAATGGCTTAAATGGTGATTTAATGCTGTAAGAGATTGCCCAAGTAGAGGAATCATGATCACTATATATAAACATTTATCAGTAATGACAAATCATACTTTTTGTTTTAAGAAAACTGATAATGTTTTTCATATTCTGCACCACAGAAAACATCCACATTCAAAATTCACTCATAATTTTGAAGTACTATTTTATAAGGTGAAATCTAGGAAAATAAAATACAGGGAATTGTTATTATGCCCTGAATACATTTCATACTACATTTTATATATCTGTTAAAATCCAAAGAATATAAAGGTGATTGGATAAACATTTCACTCTTGATGACTTGTATCTATAAATAATAGAATTATTACATAATTTTGGCCACAAAATAATTGAAACTGCATAGCTAGAAGGTTGCTTTCCTTCCTTTGTGCTTAGCTGCAAATTTAATTAGCTTCACTCTCTTTTTCTACAAAGTTTTTCTGCTTAAGTGATAGTAATTAAACTCTCAGTGAAAAGAACTGTTAGAATGTATAAAAGAACATAGCATATGTGCAAATTCTGCCATGCCAAGCACAGGAAAGCTGTGATATAAATGGCAATGATAGAACAAAATACATTGCTTCAAGGATAATTGATTTTAGCTAGTACCTGAAATTCCTTTCCGACTATTTCTTTCAACTCTGGTATTAATATACATCTGTCTTATTTGTTTGGGGATGATTCTTTGAGTGCAAATATCTGTTAAATCCAAGTGTCTTTTGTACTATGAATGTCAAATCATTGTATTTCTGAATATGGGTTTCTGCAGAAACCACTTTGGACTAGATGATTTGTTGGAATATTAAAGATGCCCAGTTCATTTTTTCACATCTATAACAAATGTTTTCTTAAAAAAAAGTCTCTTGGCCCATTTGTGATTTGCAAACATTATAATCATGCTATAAATTTATATGTGTGTGTGTATATATATGTTTGTGTGTGTGTATATATATATACACACACACAGAGATATATAAATTTATAGCATAATCTGCAATTTAAACTAAGTTTGTCCTTCAGAAATCAGCAAAGTAATAGCAAAAAAAGCGAGACCTATTTCATGTTGTATATTAATAGAGAATGTAGGTCTTTCAAAACTACTGTGCCTTGGCTGGGCGCGGTGGCTCACGCCTGTAATCCCAGCAATTTGGGAGGCCGAGACTAGTGGATCACTTGAGGTCAGGAGATCGAGACCAGCTTGGCCAACATGGCAAAACACTGACTCTACTAAAAATACAAAAATTAGGTGGGCATGGTGGTGGGCACCTGTACTCCCAGCTACTTGGGAGCTTGAGGCAGGAAAACTGCTTGAACCTGGGAGGCAGAGGTTGTAGTGAGGCGAGATCGCGCCACTGCACTCTAGCCTGGGTGACAGAGCGAGACTCCATCTCAAAACAAAACAAAAAAACTACTGCGCCTTGAGAATATTCTAAGAGAAGAATGGAAAAAGTGACCTTTCAAAAGGTTTCTACTCATCTGAGTTTCTTCAGGTTCAGTATTAGACTTACTTAACTTAAAATTGGGCACTGTAAAGTTAACATTTTTGTAATTCAAAAACATGGTTTATGGGATTATAATGTGGATGAAATTAAGATTAGATGGAACAAGACAAACTATGAAGGACAGAATTCATAATAGCATATGGGGATAATATTTACCCTTTTCATTTTTCATCTCATGTCCAGCAAAATGCCAGAGGAACAACAATACTAATAATAATATTAGTACTAATAATAACAATAATAAACTCCATGCAGGTAAGCCCTAAATACAAGCAATGACTTCCTTATGATTCAGAACACTTTCATTATAAATTTCAGCATAATGTTAGTTTACAAAGAACAGAGATGTCTTGTAAACTCCTTTCAACCATCCTAGAAACACTGAAGACTACTTCCTGGGAACTAATCTTGAGTAAGATGCTGACTATAGACTGCTGGTCTAAAACAGCATGAGTGCTGATGTTGAATAGGAGTTTTCCTGAAGTCACATAACAAAGGGCAAATAATTTTTAATTTGTATTTTTATCTATAAAATATAATAAGATATTAAAATTAACATATTAAAGTCCAAATCATACACATAATTATATGTTCTTATTAGAAATAAAATTATATTGATTTATTAAGAGTTAATTAAATGTTAATAATTATTGCTTTGTATTCAGTGGTTTATACCTGATGTCTCTTTGCTTATTGATTCTTCAAATATGTCATAATAATTTATGACCATTTTGTTCAAAACAACAATAAAAGTTAAACCAATGAAAACTGGGTTAAAAGAGATGGCTTCTGTCCTCCAGCAGGTGATACTTTACACATGAAAATAAACATAAAAACATACTTTAATATGGAGTGTGAAAAACAGTGTGATATGGTAGATAAGAGTGAATATGGATATATGTTTAACATAACTTTATTCAGAGATTTAACATGTAAACTTATATAAATAATAATTGTTTTACTTGCAATGTATAAATTATTCATTCAAATTGTTCTCAAGTGCAAAACTTGGCCTTCATTATTATAACATTGAATTTGGAAAAATTATAAAATAATTGTTTATGATGAATTGTGTATTTATATCAAATATGCAAATTCTATGGTTAACTCTTAAAAACGAATGTAATGAAAAGACAGTACAACAGATGTCTAATTGCTAGTTCATATTTCTAAAAGGAATTTATTTTTGCTGAAAATGCTAGTTTTACATCTATACACAAAATTTAAAACATTATGTAGAAAGAATACGCATGATGTATTTATCTAGGATGAAAATATTTTCTGGAGATTTGAGAACCAAGTTTTAATTTTGTTTCCAGCTTACTCTACCATTTTACAGTATTACTGAAAAATGTATACAATTCTAATGATAATATGTATTGTTTTGTTTGTAGATCTATATGGTAACAGAATATTTGAGAAGCTATGAAGAGGGTTAAAATATTTATAAGTACATTATCTGAAAATTATACACTTAACAACACAATCTTGAGGACATATAGTTGGAAAATTTATTTTTTATTATTTTAGAAAATTTTTCTCTTGTCTTATACATCTATGTTTTTACATAGATGAGGGATTTCTTTCTGTCAGGTGAATAATTCATTGTGTTGTCTTCTCCTCAAAGTAACATTTAGCTTGCTCTAGGATTCTGGCTTTTTGTTACCTAACTTTTAACCTTGTCTGATAAAACTAAAATTATGCCAGAGTGAAGATTTGAATGTTTTGCTTAAAATAAAAGTATTAGTTTGATTATATCATATTTTATTGGTAATTTTCATACCTACGTTAGGTATCTACAAACAAACTACTCCAACTTATTTTCTTGTATTTCTTGTTAAAGTTATCAAATTAATTAATTCCCCGTTTCATGGTATTGTTACTACAAAATCCATCTTTCTATTAATACAATCTATATGCTTGTTTTCATCAGCACCTCAACACACTGTTCCCCTAAGAGGCACTATAACACAATTTCCAGATAGGGAAGGTTTTAATCTGTTTTATTGATTGCAGTATCTTTAGCTCCAATTATGTTCTTGACATACATAGAGCATATAGTGAAAAAATAAGTACTGATTACATGAAGGTCACTGGCCTCTCAGCAACCTACATTGACCCTTTTACGGTTTGAATAGTTGTTCCCCCCAACTCCAAAACTCATGGTGAAATTTAATTGCCATTGTAATGTATTAATAAGTGGGATACTGAAGAGGTTATGAAGGCTCCACCCTCATGAGTGGGGTTGGTGTTGTTATAAAGGGATGAGTTTGGCCCCATCTTGCTCTCTCTCTCTCTCACCCTCTCTTTGCGCTCCTGTACGTCCATCATGTGATGAAGCATCAATAAGGCCCTTGCTCAATATCTCAGCAACTCAATATTAAACATCTCACCTTCTAAAACTGTGAGCCAGTAAATTTCTGTTCATTATAAATTACCTAGTTGCGGATATCCTGATATAGCAGCACATAATGGACTAGGACAAAAATTGGTATGGTACCAGGGAATTGGGGTGTTAATATAACAAATACTTGAAAATGTAAATTTGGCTTTGGGATTGGAAATGTGCTAGGGTAAAAGAATTTGGAGAAACAGGCCAAAAAAGCCTAGATTGCCATGAAGGAAGCATTAAGGGCAATTCTAATGAGAGCTTAGTAAAAGAAGAGAGCTTCCAGGAAAGTCTGAAACTTCTTAGAGATTACTTAAGCGGTTGTGATCATAATGCTGGTAGAAATACAGGTAGTAAAGGCCATTCTGGTGACATCTTGGACAGAAGTTAGAAAAGTGGTGTTGGAAGTTAGTGGAAAGGCCATCCTTGTAATAAAGTGGCAAAGAACTTGGCCAAATTCTCATTGTTCAATTCCCACCTATGAGTGAGAACATACGGTGTTTGTTTTTTTGTCCTTGTGATAGTTTGCTGAGAATGATGGTTTCCAGCTTCATCCGTGTCCCTACAAAGGACATGAACTCATCATTTTTTATGGCTGCACAGTATTGAACAATGAGAACACATGGACACAGGAAGGGGAACATCACACACCGGGGACTGTTGTGGGGTGGGGGGAGGGGGGAGAGATAGCATTAGGAGATGTACCTAATGCTAAATGACGAGTTAATGGATGCAGCACACCAACATGGCACATGTATACATATGTAACAAACCTGCATGTTGTGCACATGTACCCTAAAACTTAAAGTATAATAATAATAAAATAATAAAAAAAAGAACTTGGCTAAATTGTGCTATAGGGCTTTATGGAAGGCAAAATTTAAGAGTAATGAACTTGGACATCTAGTTGGAGAAATATCTAAGCAAAATGTTGAAAGGGCTGCCTGGCTTCTCATAATTGCATATAGTAAAACGGGAGAAGGGAGAAATTATTTGAAGATACAATTTATCTTCAAAAGGTAAGCAGAACAAAAATTTGGAAAATCTGGAGCTTGGCCATGTAAAGAATAAAAAGATCTGTTCAAGAGAAAAAAAAGAATGTGGCCAAGTGACCCTTTGATAAGATTAGTATGGAGAGAAAGAAACTAGGAGCTATTCATTAAGACAATGGGATAATGAGCCTGAAAGTATTTTGAAGATTTTTGAGATTGCCCCTCCATCACAGGCTCACAGCACTAAGGCCTTGAAGGCAAGGTTTCCAGGGAGGTTCTTGTAGGACCTTAGAGTTTGTTGCCTGTGTCACCTCAAATGTATGTTCTTCTCCTTCTGGTGCAGCATAGCTTGGCAACCCCAATCATGGCTCAAGTGGACCTGGGTGCAGCACCAGTCACCACTCTGGAATATAGAAGTCATATAAACATTGGCGATGTGCACGGGCTGCTAACTTTGCAGGCCTGCAGAGTGCAAAAGCTGTGGAAGCATGGCAGCCTTCAGCTACATTTCAAAGAATGCTGCAGGGATCAGCTGCAAGGACAGAGCTGTCAAAGACAGTCCTCCCTAGGTCCAATGCCTAGTAGGGCCAGGGGAGGGGGATGGGTCTCTCTGAAGACCTCAGAACTATAAAACTGCTAGTGAGCAACATGAGCCTGGGAGAGCTGCAGATAAAAGACTCCTGCATATCAGAGTCGCTGTGTGGGCTGAGCTGAGTAAAGCCACAGGCTGGGGCTTCCCAAAGTCTCATGGCTTTGGGAACGCTAGTGTGTCTGGAAGGTGGAATGTGGAGTCAAGGGAGATTATTCTGGAGCCTTAAGATTTAATATTAGGCCAGATGTGGTGGTTTACGCCTGTAATCCCAGCACTTTGGGAGGCTGAAGCAGAAGGATCAGTTAAGCCCAGTTTGAGACCAGCCTGAGCAACATAGGGAAACTCTGTCTTGACAAAAAAATAAAAATTAAATATTAACTGGATATGGTGGCACATGCCTATGGCCCCAGCTGCTTGGGAGGCTGAGGTAGGAAGATTCCTTGGGCATTGGGAGGTTGAGGCTGCAATGAGCCATGATTACACCAGTGCACTCTGTCCTCAATAATAGAGTGAGACTCTGTCTCAAAAAAACAGAAAACAAAAAGACAAAAAGATTTAATGTAGCGTGCTCTGTTGGGTTTTGGACTTACTTGGGACAAGTTATCTCTTTCTTTTTGCTTATTTATCCCTTTTGAAATGGAAGTATCTGCCCTGTGTCAGTCACATCACTGCAGTTTAAAAGTAAAGAACTTGTTTGATTTCATAGTCTCACAGCTGGAGAAAAGTTCACCTTAGGATGAGTCACACCTTGAGTCACACCCATATCAGATTTAGATGAGACTCTGGATTTTATACTTTTGAGTTGATCCTGGATTGAACTCAGACTTTTGGGATGGAATGAATGTCTTTTGTACATGAAAAGGACATGAATTTTGGGGGTGCCAGGGTCAGAATAATATGGTTTGAATTTTTGCCCCCCTCAAAAACCCATGTTAAAACTTAATTGCTATTCTAATAGTATTTAAGAGGCAGAACTTTTAAGAGGTAATAAGGCTATGAGGGCTTCACTCTTAGAGGTGAGATTGGTGCTGTTATGAAAGGGTGTACTTAGCCCTATGCTGTTCTCTTTCTTGCCTTTCTCTTTGCCTTTCTGCACTTCCACCATGTAATCATGCAGCAAGAAGGCCCTGGACAGAAGTTGTTCCCTTAATATTGAATTTTCCAGCTTCCAGAAGTGTTTAAGTCAATAAATTTCTTTTTATTATAAATTACCCAGTTTCAGGTGTTCTGTTACAGCAGCAGAAAATAGACTTAGCCCTGAATTCATAACCTTTTAACTACTACTGAATTCTCATCTGTATATGCCACTTTATTCAAGTCCATTTCACATCTGAAAGTTAATAAAAGTGTGTATTTTCCTACATTTTCATATATTTTAAACACAGAATTTGGGTAAAATGCTTTCAGTTAGTCAATAAAATTAAATGAAAGTTGCCTCGGTTTTAGGATTTATTTGGCTTATCTATTAAAAATAATACATATGAAAGTAGAGTTAAAAGGATTTTCTAGAGTTAGAATTTAGAAGTGGATCACTGATGGAAAATAATATTTGAGAATTTTTGTTATTTGAGAAATGTTATTAGTAATTTGAAAAAAATGAATAATCTCAGGTCTGCATAGGATGAATTAATGGTATGCCTGCAACATTCTGATTCATTAGAAAATAAGAATGTTGAATGCCTAATAGGGCCTAACAAAAAGACACTGGAGTTATCTAGTGAGTAGGCATACACTGGCTAATGTGTGATATGCTGAGGACCAAGAAGAATCGCTATAATTATTGTTACATTAACTAAATAAAAATGAGAAAAACATTAAAGAAGTATCATGTCAATTCCTTGTTTTCGAAATTACTATTAAATAGGAAAATAAACTAAACACTTATCTTGCCTTTTTATGAAAAACTACAATTCCTATGCACTTGCTGAGTAATTTTTTGAAGAAAAACAAAAATGACAAAATTATAACCACCTGCAATTATGTTTAAAATAACATATATTAACAGCTGAAAAGAGAATTCAGGTCTAAGGAACTTACAAAATACTTTTTTGGTCGTTTTACTGCAATTATTAACAGCTTTATTTATGTTTCCAGAATTAGTTAATATAATACATACCCGATGAAATGAGCAATTTTCTCTAGGAACATTGAAAAATAAGTTATATTCTCAGAATATAATAAAAGAAGTTATACCATAGAGTTTTAATCAAGAATCTCACATATAAACATATATCCTAAAAAGATTATAGCAATTATAAAACAGCTTTCCACTGTGACATCAACTCTATTCCCACATAGTGATTTCATGTCATTTCTCTCCATTAGCTATCCATAGCTCATAACTTACAATTAGACTTGGTAAATAATGTACTGTGCTTATTCAATTCTATTCACAGGCTTTTATAAGTGTTGTTAATTGTTATACTTGGAATAAACACTGGTTAAGATGGGAAAATATTCTCTCAAAATCCAGCATTGTCACGTGATTGAAAACAAATGATGTATTTCAAAATAGTTTTTAGGAATATCAGTCACTTATCCCAGATCATGCCAAAGTAGTTAAGTCTCTCAAATAATCGTAGTCTAAGAGTGATGACCCCTCAGTGAATAGCTTTCCATATCTACCCTCCACTGAGTTGGTGCTACCAAGAAGTGAGTTAACCATGGCCTTCTGGTGTGTTATTTTCACCTTATTTGGTGAAATGCTCTTGATGCATTGGAATGCCTTAATAAATTGACCAAATAACATTGTTGTTTTCTCTCTTCCCATAACTAAGAAGGGGGATGCATTATAAGGTAAAAATAATGTAACAAATATAACAATATAGTAAAAAAAATAACTAGGGATCATAGGTCCTGTTTAACTGGAAGAAATTTAGATATATTTAATTCTAAGTTTTTTTTTAACCTATGATGGCTCATATTTCACTACTATGAGACAAGGGAAAGATCAAGCAAATGTGTTTCTAATATTTCATTGCTATTTCAACTTGAGAACTATAATTTTATTTTTAAGATAATATGGTTTGAATTTCATTTGAAATATTTTTCTGTTAGAAGAATTGAAAAGATACTAAATAGTAAGCTTCATAGTCTCTCATACAGAAAACCTTAAATGAAATAGAATGAAATATAAACATCTTCACACTAATACTCTGCCATCTTCCTCATCAGTCTACCTTCCTAGGACCTCATGTACAATTCCTTCAACTCAGCTACATTTTCATCACCTCTCAATTTAAGTCAACCAAATCCCATTTCAGCTACAATTGTATTTTTCCTTCTTTGATTTTTATTACTTTTATTATCATCAATGGCTTTATCTGACATCAGTCTCCTACTTAGGCTTCTTTAGGAACTTCAAAACACTCAAAGCTGGTAAAACAATTAGAACACACACAGTCAGTTGTTTCTTGGCCTACATTTTTCATTCCAATAAGAGATTAATCCATGTAAGAGCTTTTAGATAATTATAACTTAATTGATGTGGAAAATATTGTGTGTGCATAAACCACAATAGAAGGGTACAATGGAAGTATGCACTATGACCACGTCACTCCTCCCCTCCCCCAGGCTGACACGGCACCATACAGAGATGATTCTCCTGAGCGCACAGTTTCTATAGTGGGAAAAGAGAACTAGAAGTGAAATTCAGCTTCCCTAATATTCAGAGATGCTTCCTATTAAGTCCATTCCTGTCTCCACTCATGAATAATACAGTGGGTAACAACACAATTAGGCTGTTTGGGGTCAAGTAGAAACAAAGCAAAGTTGTGGAACTCACAGTGACTAGTGCATGTATCTTAGTGGAAGCTCTATGTATCTGCCAGTGGTAGTGTCCAGTTAGAGGTATCAGTTAAAGGCAGAGCTCACCTGCAAAACCAAACTAGTGGCTCCCACAAACAATGGAAAACTCCACCTGTTTGAATATCTAGACAGCCAGTGTCCATGCCTAAGCTCAGATCCTACTACAATGCCTAGCCGAGGGAGAGATGCCTACCACAGTGCATTTTTTTTTTTTTTTAACAGAGCACAGGGGCTAGACCTGCCCTACCTAGGAGTTTAAACAACTCTGTTCACCTCCAAAGCCCACCTTGAGGGCCAACCCAGGCAGGGAGGCAAACTTCCAATTTCCATTTCTACCAAACATAGAAGCTAGTCTTATCTGTCCTAACCAGTGACTCCACCCAACCTTGAGGCCCAGCCTGCAACCCTGTCTAACTGTAGAACTCAAAAAGCAGTACCACATGGCCTGGAAATATACTCTGTGGCCTGGCCTGAACAGAGGCAATCACAGTGCCCAGCCAGCAGCTTGGCCAGATTGCAGAACACATCCAGTATTCTCATCAGACAGTGGAAGCCAGCAAACAATGCCATCCAAACTCAGAGCCAAGGCAGTGGCCCAGTAATCCAGAGAATCAGAAAGCAAACTCTGCTTGCCTGGGATTGGTACCAGCTGGTCCATCTAGAACCACAAGCTAGACTATGTAAGCGAAGGTCTAATCCTGCCCAAGAACAGGAAAAGGTGGAAAAGGTGGCTGTCTGCTCAAATGTGTGGAGAGCAACAAAAAGACATAAGGATTATGAAGAATCAGGGAATAATGACACCTCTAAAAGAAACTAATAAAGCTTCAATAATGAATCCTAAAGAAATGGAGATATATGAAAAGACTGACAAATAATTTGTAATAATTCTCCTAAAGAAGTTCAATGAAATACAAGAATATACAGATACAAAATTAAATCTATTGTTAAAGAAATAAGAAATTTGACAAAGAAACAATAAAAACAATAAAAAATCTAGAGATGAAGAATACAATGATGGAACAGAAAAATGCACTTGAAAGCTTCAACAGCTGGCTCAAACAAGCAGAAAAAATACTTAGGAGCTTTAAGACAGACTAATATTATCAAGTCAGAGGAATAGAAAGAAAACAGAATGGAAAGGAAAGAAGAAAGTCTTTGGGAATTACGGAACACTATGAAGAGATCTAATTTTAATGTTTGTAAAGAAAACCAAAAGATAACAGGGGTAGCTACACTTACATCTTAGTCTGTTTGTGGCACAGTAACAAAATACCCAAGATCAGGTAATATATAAAGAACATTTTTTTGTTGTTTTACTGTTCTAGAGAAGTCTGAGATTGAGATGCCAGCACTTTTCTTTATCTGGTGAGAGTTGTTCTCTGTTTCCAAGATGGTACCTTGATGCAGCATCCTCCAGAGGGAAGAAACCCTGTGTTTTCACATGGCAGAATGTGAAAGGCAAAAAGGGATAAATTGCCTCCATCAGGTTTTTTTATAAGAGCATCTAATCTCATTCACTAGGTGAAGAGCTATGATGACCTAATTACTCTTAAAATCTTACCTCTAAATACTATCACATCAGGTGTTAAGTTTTAACAACTGGATTTTTGAGTAGACACATTTAAACCATAGCAACTTAGAGAAAATAGACTTTAAGTAAAAAATCATAAAGACAGACAAAGGGGTCTCTTTATAATGATAAAGGTGTTAATTCATTAAGAAGTTAAAACAATTGTAAATATATATATACAAGACATTGGAGCCTCTAAATATATAAATATTAGAGGATCTTAAGGAAGACATAAATTACAATAAAATTATGGTGGAGGACACCAATACTCCACTTTCAAGAAAAGGTAGATCACTTAGACAGAAAATTAATAAGAAAACATTGGACTTAAATGGTAATTTAGACCAAATGGATCCAACAGACATACAGAACATTCCACCAAATAGTAACAGAATGTATTTTCTTGTCAAACACACATGGAACATTCTCTAAGATAGATCACATATTAGGCCACAAAACAAGTCTGACCACATCAAGAGAACTGAAATCATATCAACTATCTTTTCTGATCAAAATATCATAAAACTAGAAATTAACAACAGCAGAAATCTTTCAAAAATCACAAATATGTGGAAATTAAGCCTGAACAACCAATGACTCAGATACAATAGCAAAGACTTGGAACCAACCGAAATGCCCGTCAATGATAGACTGAATAAAGAAACTGTGGCACATACACACCATGGAATACTATGCAACCATAAAAAAGGATGAGTTCATGGCCTTTGCAGGGACGTGGATGAAGCTGGAAACCATCATTCTCAGCAAACTAACACAGGAACAGAAAACCAAACGCCACAAGTTCTCAATCATAAGTGGGAGTTGAACAATGAGAACACACGGACACAGGGAGGGGAATATCACACAGCAGGGCCTATCAAGAGGTGGGGGGCTAGGGGAGGGATAGCATTAGGAGAAATACCTAATGTAGATGACAGGTTGATGGGTCCAGGAAACAACCATGACATGTGTATACCTATGTAATAAACCTGCACGTTCTGCACATGAATCCCAGAACTTAAAGTATATATACATATAAAAGAAAAAGTAGTTCAGGCATTGAAAAAAAAAGCAAAAATGAAATTAAAAAATAAATCTTGTGACAAATGAAAATGGAAGTACAACATACCAAAACTTATGGGTTGTAGCAAAGTCCTCAGAGGGAATTTTATAGGAATACATGCTATATCAAAAAGAAGAAAGATCTCAAATAAACAACTGAATTGTATACCTCAAGGAAGTAGAAATAGAAGAACAAACTAAACTCAAAGTTCGAAGATGGAAGGAAATAATAAAGGTCAGAGAAGAAATAAATGAAATAGAGGCAACAAAACAAGAGAAAACCCAATGAATGCAAGAATTGGTTTTTCGAAAGGATAGACAAAATTGACAACCCTTTAACTAGAATAAGAATAAAAGAGAAGACTCCAAAAATCAGAGAAATGAAGGAAAATAAATTATAGCTGTTATCACAGAAATATAAAATATCTTAAACTTTCCTATGAATAATTATATGCCAACAAATTGGATAACCTCGTAGAAGTGACGGCAGCAGCAGCCTGACTGGAGAGGCCACCAGCTTCTATGGGGAGACCCAGCTGGGGCTGCACTCTTCATGGAGCCAGCGGGAGCTGGGATCAGGTGGGAGCTGCAGGCACCCAGTTGCAGCTGCAGACCCAGGCATCCCTGTCCTCCCTGGGTCCTGAGAAGCCCATCTCCCCCCACAGACTCAGAAGTGCCTGCTCCCACTCCATGGCCTCTCCTTGCTCTTGGTGCCTGCTCTGATTTTGGAACAAGGTTGAGGCTGAGCCAGGGCACTGTCATGACCCGTCTGGGTGTGCGTGTACTTAGGGCAACACTGATATGTCATCCCCCTGCCACCTTGGCCCCCTCCAGACTTTGGGTGCTGACAAATATGAGAGTGAGGCTGAGGGGGGAGGGGGGCTTGGTATGGGCCTTCAGGTGCCTCTTGGCAGGAACAGCCTGGCTGCTGTGGACAACATTACTGATGGTGGTGGGAGACAGACAGGCTCCTGGGCAGACAGGGGCAGGTCCCTTGTGAAGCTCCACCTTCAAGCCAGGAAAGACCTGATGCATGAGGGCCAGGCATTTCCAGGTGGAGTCATGGCCTGGAGTGAGAAGTGAGAAATTATGGTGCTTTTTCTAATCCTACCCATGGCCACCCATGGACCAATCAGCATGCACTTCCTCCCTGCTGAGCCTATAAAAAATACCCGGACCCCGCCAGATGTACACAGACATCAGGACTACCAGCTGAAAGAAGCAGCTACCCAATTTGGGTCTCCTTCGTTAGGATGACCTGCCTGAGGAAAGCAGCTACCCACTCTGGGTCTCCTCTCCACTGAGAGCTGGACACTCATCAGGATGACCTCCTGTGGAAAGGAGCTACCCAGTGCAGGTCCCCTGAGAGCTTTTCTGTCACTCAATGAAGATCCTCTCTGCCTTGCTCACCCTCCAATTTTCCATGTACCTCATTCTTTTTGGATGCAGGAAAATAACTTGGTACCAGCCGATTGGCAGAACTGAGAGAGCTGTAATACAAACAGGGCTGAGATACCCCTCTCTGTTCACCACATTGCAGCCAATAAGAAAGAGAGAAGAGCTGAGGCCCTCTGGGGATTCCAGACCTATGGGCTCTCCAAGCCAGGGCTTTAACACCCTCTTTGGGGCTCTGCAGTTTCTAGTCTCTCTAAGCATTCAGGTGCCACCACATTCCCCTTGTCCAGATGCTGGTGCCCACAGCGGAAGCTGTTTGCTATACATCTGGTCTAGCTGCAGCCTCACATGGAGCCAGTGCCTGTGCCAGTGCTTGGAGCTGCCTTCCCCACCACAGCAGCCAGCATACCTGCCTCTGTGCAGTGGCCAGACCCCACGCTCCCTCACTCACACACCCCTTGCTCCTGGGTACCTGGCTCGTCCTTGGTAGGTGTGGGATCCAGGCCAGTAGCATGAGCCAAGCGCAACGTGCCACACCGAATTGGTGGAACAAGCCCAGTGGACACAATAAATACTCAAGCTGAAGGTTCCACTGGCCAAAGGAGTTTCCGGCTGGTGAAGTGACACCCCAGGCATCCTGTAACAGAAGGGAATAAATTCCCAGACATATAAAATCTACCAAGACCGAATCATAAAAAATAGAAAATAGAAACAGACTAATGAGCAAAAATGTTGACTCAGTAATAAAAAGTATCTCATCAAAGAAAAACCCAAAAACTGATGGCTTCCTTGGTGAATACAATACATTTACAGAAGAACTAATACCAATCCTTCTCAAACCAAAGCAAAGCTGGAAGCATCACGCTATCTCATTTCAAACTATATTACAATGCTGTTGTAATTAAAACGGTATAGGACTGGCATAAAAACACATTGTGCAATGAAGAGACTAGAGAGTACAAAAACCACTTCTTTTAATGGTCCATTATGCCAAGATGATCCAATGGAAAAAGAACAATCTCTTCAATAAAGGATTTTGGGAAAATTGAGTAGCCACAGGTAGAAGAAAAAAAAACTGGACCCTTATCTCAAACAATATACAAAAATTAACTTAAAATAGATTAAAGAATTAAGCAAATAGGGCACTTTCGCTCATGCCTGTAATCCCAGCACGTTGGTAACTGAGGTGAGTGTATCGTTTGAGCCCAGGAGTTTGAATCCAGCCTGGACAACATGTCAGAACCCCATTTCTACAAGAAATATAAAAATTAGCCTGGAGTAGTGGCATGTGCCTTGCAGTCCCAACTATATAGGAGCCTGAGGTGGGAGGGTGGTTTGAGTCCAGGAGGTGGAGGTTCTAGTGAGTTGAGATCGTGTCACTGCACTCCAGCCTTGGCAGCAGAATAAAACTCCATCTCAAAAAAAAAAAAAATTAGCCCAGCGTGGTGGCATGCACCTGTAGTTCCACCTATTTGAGAGGCTGAGGTGGGAGGATGGCTTGAGTCCAGGAGGTGGAGGTTGCAGTGAGCTGAGGTCATGCCACTGCACTCTAGCCTGGGCTTTGGAACCAGACCCTACATCAAAAAAAAAAAAAAAAAAAAATTTAAACACATGACCGAAACTAAAACTAGTGGAGAAAATGAACAGAAACAGCTACATGTAATTGGGTTATTGTTTATTTGGATTAGACTCCAAAAGCTCAGACAACAAAAGCAAAAATAGACAAATTGGATAACATCAAACTAAAAAGCTTCTGCACAGGAAGGAAAACAATTAATAAATTAAAAGACAACCTAAAGAGTGAGAGAAGAAAATATTTGTCAACCAAAAAATGTGATAAGGGGTTAATGTCTGATATATAATAACTCAATACCAATAAAACAACCCAATTTTAAAATGAGCTAATGACCTTAATAGGCATTTCTTCAAAGAAAACACACAAATGGCTAACGGATCTATGATATAATTCACAAAATGATGTACAAGTGGCTAACAGATATCAATCAAGTACATCTAATAATTTAGAATTGCCCAGTTGAAATTTGAGAGGCTGTGCTCCCTTTAACATCACTAGTCATTTAGAAAAATGCAAATTAAACCCACAATAATTTGTCACCTAACACCTGTCAGAATGGCCATTATCAAAAAGATAAGAAACGTTAATAAGGTTGTGGAGGAAAGGCAACCCTGTACACAGCCATTGGGAATGTAAACTGGTACAGTCACTATGGACAACTGTATGGAGATTTTCCTCAAACAAGTTTTAAAAAAATTAACATTTGATCGAACAAGCACACACTAGGTAAATATACCCAAAGGAAATGTTGTCATTTGCCACAACAAGCATGTACCTGGAGGACATTATGCTAAGGAAATTAAGTTCTGCACAGAAAGACAAATACCATGTGTTCACATTTATATGTACAATCTAAAGCAATAAAACTCTTAGAAGCAGAAAATAGTGTTGATTACCAGAGTCTGGGAGTTGGAGTGAATTGGAAGATGTTGGTCAAAGGGTGCAATGTTTCATTTAAACAGGAAAAATAAATGGTAAGTATTTGAGATGATGGATAGTTAATTAGCTTGATTCAATGATTCCACATTATATACATATATCACAGCATCACTTTGTACTTCACAAACATATACAATTATAATTTGTTAAAATAAAATCATAAAACCACTGATCCAATAAAATCTTGTTTTAAAAATGAGGCGAGATACCCAGATAACCGAATTAAATTGATTAGTGATGATTTATCAAATTCCTAATCTCAGCTAAAACTGTTCTGAAATTTCTTTGTAATGATATTCAGCCTGAAAGAATAGTTGTAGTAAAATATGTACCTGGATATATATTTATTTTCTAATAACTATGAAAAACAATAAAAATATCTCATAATATCAGGTAACCTTAACCATTATCTTGCAACATTTCTGAAAGATAGAAGCTGTTCAGTTTTTAAAAATATATATGAGCAATTATTTTTATGCATTTGTTTCTTTCAAGATGGCTATAAAATCTTTTCTATTATAACATAATTGCCTATAAAATGGAAGATTTCCTTCCCATTTTGTAGCATGTAAATAATATGGGTCATTTATTTATAAATTAAATGCAGACTTTTGGTAGAGTACATATGGCCACAGATCTCTATGCTGCTATGCTGAGGTTTCTTTAATTCCTGAGGGGGTAAGATTCTTATTTATGATGTACCCAGGTGCTGATGTTTACAGGAGAAACAGTGTTTTTGCTTATATATGTGTGAAAGTGTATGAAGCCAGAATCTGTTTATAACTGGTATATATCTAAAAATGTATATAAATTGCTTATGCACAAGTATATAATTTAAAAGTTTCCTACACCTATGATTATAACTTTGAATAATTGTTAATTATATCTACTGCATATGATGGTTGTGAGAATTAAATATATTTTTACATAAAGAATGCACTTAGCTAGTGCTTAGCTTATAAAAAATGTTCTAGGATATTTATTTATTAATTTATTTGGCAGTTTGGAAGTAAAATGTTGAATGTCGTTTATAACAAAATGCTCTTCCCCACTTGTCCAAAGAAGACAAACTAGAGAAATGACTAAAAATTCTTATCTAACTTATATCATTTTAGGCTTAAACAGAACGTAAACCATTCTTAGATTGACTGGGAGAGTCAATACAAAAGTAATGTAAAATGATAGAATTACAAATGAAGTAAAATGGCATGCTTGACAGAAACTTTTGGTATTATATAAAAAGAGGAAGTAAAGGAAGATGAATTATACACATACGTATGAATTTATTTAGCCATTATTTATTGACCATGGATTAAGCATTTGTGTCTTGCTAATGTCTGCAAATTCAAGAGTGAATAAGACATTATCCCTGTACTCCAGAACTTACAGTTTGGTGGTGTTGAGTGTGATATACAAGAGAATAGACTATGACAACATATTGTAATACTTTTGTAAAAAAGTATTGAAATATTTGAACATAAAAGACAGTTATTTGTTGATTTTTTCTCATTGTTTCCTTCAAACAAGCTGTTTTCAATCTCCTTTTTCACATTTGTAGAATATCTTTGTTAAATCCGTAATTTAGAATTGTTGTGTTAAAAGTAAGATGTCATGGTGCCCTTTTTGCAGGTATTTCAGATATCTAGAAACAGTTCCTTTGGGTACATTATCTCTTATTGGAAATGACAGAGCAATGGTAGGCACAATTTAGGTATCCATAGTCACTGCAGTATCAGAAAACATGGCAAAATGAGTGGAAGGTCTAGGCAGAGTTCCTGCTGTCATCCTCACAACTACAGCAAGTTTAGCCCTTTTCAAAGAATCAGTCATGACAGTCCAAGGTAACATACTTCATTCTCTAAATTTGCTCCGGCAAACAGCTGAAAAGAGACAAACTATTGCTACTTTGAATATAATTTCACAAAATAGGTTCATTTGGGGAGTATCAAGCTTCAGTGTTTTCTTCCTTATGGAAGGTTGAATAAAATTTAAGTATATCATAAGGAGTTAGGTTATTACTTTGTACCCCCAGATAGGTAAAATATATAATACAGGTTTTGAGCTTTAAGATACTAGGAAAACATAGGCATAGAGTAAAAGGGCTTAGATATCTGGGAAATATTTCTTTCGTTTCCCCATGCCAGTGATTAAAAGAGGGAAATTATTTCTGTGTGTTATGTAATGATAACGTTGATGTTATCACTGTATTGATGACCTGGTTCTAGATTTCCAAACCATGGCCCAGGAAGATCATTGAATGATAAGCTGCTAAGGATTTGTGCATGTTTTGAGAAAGAGGAAAGCTGCCAGAGGCTTGGTAGTCATACTTTAATACTGAAGTAATGACTCAATCTCACAATTACATGTTCATCCCTGCTTGTGTTGTTTCAGATCTAAACTTAGAGTTCAATGAATTTGCTGATTAGATCTTCTTCAGTCTGTGAATTAAGGGAACCAGAAGTGGGCTCTGTGCAAGAAAGATTTATTTTTAAATTTAGATGTGTCCAAGATGAAATCTATGTAATCAAGACACTTGAATTCCTATTATTACATAAACATAAAACAGATTTCTGGGAAGATCTTCGGGAAATCCTTGCTTCAAGGTTTGGTCATCTGCAAAAGAAGATGGGTTTAATAAGCTTCTGAGTACAGGGCACTGCAAGGCTTATGCCATCAATTTACTCAGAGATCATTTATAAGTTACAAAAAGAAGGCTGCAAAGACATGGAATAAACCTAAATGCCTATCAATGATAGACTGGATAAAGAAAATGTGGTACATATGCACCATGGAATAATACGCAGCTACAAAATAAACAAACAAACAAACAAACAAAAAACAACGAAAGCACATCTTTTGCAGGGACATGGATGGAGCTGGAGGCCATTATACCTAACAATCTAACACAGGAACAGAAAAACAAATACCACATGGTCTCACTTATAAGTGGGAGCTAAATGATGAGAACATATGGATACACAGAGGGGAACAACGCATACTGGGGCCTATCAGAAGGTGGAGGGTAGGAGGGGAGAGAGGATCAAGAAAAATAACTTCTGAGTACTAGGCTTAATACCTGGGTGAAAAAATAATCTGCACAACAAATGCCCATGACAGAAGTTTACCTGCGTAACAAAGCTGCACTTGTACCCCTGAACTTAAAAGCTAAAAAAAGAAGAAAAAAAGATGGAAAGCATACGGTGTTCTGCCTGATAGTTTTTCAGTTTCTTAATTTTGTCCTGAGAAATGATACATTCTTATTACAGTGTATATATATATACACATATATATGCATGTACATAGATTTTGTATATACATATTATCTTTCACACATGTATGCATATATATAATGCATATATATGTATGTGTGTGTGTATGTGTGTATACATGAACACACACCATCCACACAGAGAAAGAGGAAGAAGGAAAGAATCAAACATTTAGTTACCCTAAAAAGGAAAACTGTAATTTCCATTGTCAGTCACCTCGACTGTAAATGATAGAATTGAATCACCTTGTTCCATAGAAGCAGAGAACAGGTCATGTCCTTAGAGATTCACAATGGATGAAAATCTCTTTTATCAACCATTCCTAAGGCAGGGACAAAATCTCTACTCTGGAGACTTTAAGGCAAAAGAGAAAAGAAACAACCTTTCATGGCTGATGGTTAAGAGGAAAGTGAAGGGAGTTTTTTACTATTACTTAGATAAAAATAAAAGAAGAAACTTAAAATAACACCTTTTGGTGGCTGACAGTCTCTTAATGTCCTAAGTTTTGTGCTTACATAAAAACTGAAACAGCTAATCAATGTAGGTGTGCAAAGAAGAAAGGTATCTCCCAAGAGCTTTGATTACCAGTTTCCTAAAATAGAAATGTGAGGAATAAAATACAACCATGAATCTAATGGTGCTTCAGAATCAAGTAGATCTATCTAAAAAATAAAATAAAAGAATAAATATATACATCTGCCAAAAGGAAAACAAAAGAACTAAAGTAATAAACAATTTTTGATTTAGCATCACCTGGTTGCCGTGAGTTATAATGGAAAAGTAATATCCTTATTCCATATTATCATGGCAGGATAATTTGATAACCAAATATGGGTCTACCAAAGGCCTCGATAAATTAGGCAGCACCGTAGAATCACTTGTAGAGAGATGCTCTAAGGAAGCATAGGTAAAGAGAGGGATTGAAGATTTTATATAAACATTTAAACCATAGCCTGTCTATGGAATGAACCATTATCAGTGCAAAGTACATAAACATAAGAAAATTTCTATTATCTCACATCATCTAGTTATAACTATTCCATGGAAGGACTCCAGGTTGGGATACTAGAAATCATTATGTTAAAAAAGTTTGTATTGAATTGTTGACGTAATTGTTCTCCCTTTCCTTTCTATTTTCAAGTAGGGATGCAAGGGGATGATTATCTCTTTGATAACTAGAAATTGTAAGTAAGGTGTGGGAGGTAAGTTCTGAAATGTCTCTGAATGATCCCTGCCTCCTTTCATTCATGCCTCTGTACCCCTGTGTGTACGTATGTGTTTGTCTTGAGAGGTGTGGACATTGACTTGATTGTAATGAATAGAATATAGTGAAAGTGATGAACTGTTAATTCTAATATTAGACTACAAAAGACTGTGACTTTTATTACTCTCTCTCTCTCTCTTTCTTACCTTCGTGGCTTTCTTTGATAAAGCAAGTCCAGAATATGTATAGAACTCTTCAAAATCAATGTGAAAATAGCTCCATGGAAACATGAGCAAAGTGTATGGCTGATTAGTACCACAAAACCCCAATAGACAATAAAATACAAGCAGGAACATAAAATTCCACTGTAATTAGTTATACTGTAATTAGTTAAATGCAAATTACATACAAAATGAGGTAATATTGTATGCCACCAGATTTGCAAAGTGCAAAAAAATTTCAGAAACAGGTGTTGATAAAGATATAGAGAAAATAATGCCATATATTTAATGGCATAGTATTGCTAGAATAGATTTAGAGAAAAAAGTTTAATAATTCCTAGTGTCCTAAGTATAACTAGCAGAATAGCTCAGAAGAAAAAAGATGGTAATACTTAGTGGCCCAACCAGTGTCAATTGTTACAGTTTCAAGTTGGCAATCAGGCACAAGTGACACACAGGCTCTAATCTAACATTATGCGTAATTGGCTTTACAGAAGATTACGGGACAAGTAATACTGTGATGAAGCATTTTACCTCATTGGGAGGCCTGGTTCACAGCTGCTTTTATCACATCAATGTGCAGGGAGTGTCCAGCTACTGAAATTAATAGCAAGGTCAGTGTAAATTACGTTGACACAAGAAGGCTGCAGTATCCACTTGCACCAGCCATTTATACTGGGTCAATTCCAAAGATGGACATTTCACAACAACAAGGAAGACGTAAAAATCCACATTCATCTTGATGCTGTACATTCCAAAGAAAGAGACAGGATTATGTTCTCAAGTAGAACTGGAACAATACAGGCCAAATGTTAAAGGTTTATTTTTTTACAGTAAATTTTAAAGTGTGTTGCCACCATTTAGCAACCACACATCTAGGCTAAATAATTAATACTAATAACTTCCAATTTCTATACTAAATTAACTTCCAAGCATATGCACAATGTACACATGGACAAAACACTGTTTGCAATGGCAGAGTTTTCAAATGACTTAGTTTTCCATTTTAAGGAAACACATAAACATTTATGGTTTATTCCCAAGTTAAAATAAATGATTTACATTTCCCAAGCTATAAAAATATAAACTGCAGGTTGAATGAAAAAAGGAAGGTTGAAAAAGAATGTGTGAAATCTGAAACTTTCAAAACTAGAGAAAAATGACACCGTATCCCAAATATTTATCTTTAAAATGGTGACAATATAAAAACTTTTGCATAGGGTAGGCATAGCATTTTAATGAGTTAATGCATATAAATTATTTAGCATAGTATCTGGACTATGGTAAGGTATCAATAAATGGTAGCTATTATTATTTGAATGAATATATATACATATATATATATATCACAGTAAAAGTGTTAAAATACTGGAAAATTACATCCATTCCCTTTAGTATAATAGCAACCTTTATGTAAGGAGATACAAAAATTGATAAGATATTAATATAATTTTTATTTTATTTAACAAAAGAAATATTGAGCAAATGTGCCAAATAATAACACATCTGTTTGTCTTAAGTGTAAAATAATCTAATATTTTCTTCTACTTTTTTCATATGCTTATCATATTTCATAAATAAATATGTTAATTAAAAGAAAAGTAGAGGCTGGGCATGGTGGCTCATGCCTGTAATCCCAGTACTTTGGGAGGCCAAGGTGGGTGGATCACCAGGCCAGGAGATTGAGACCATCCTGGCTAATACGGTGAAACCCCATCTCTCCTAAAAATACAAAAAATTAGCTGGGTGTGTTGGCACACGCCTGTAGTCCCAGCCACTCGGGAGGCTGAGGCAGGAGAATCACTTGAACTCAGGAGCCGGAGGTTGCAGTGAGTTGAGATCGCACCACTGCACTCCAGGCTGGGCGACAGAGCAAGACTCTGTAAAAAAAAAAAAAAAAGAAAAAAAAAGAAAAAGAAAAGCAGAATAGCAGAATGCTCAATGTGGGTAAGCTTTTTTTTAGTGAGAAAACAAACTTCTAGACCTATATAGAATGGAGAAAAAAGTTAGAAGACAGGACAGTTTTATTTTAGTAGCACTGAATAAGGAGAGCTAATATGAAGCTTACATTTATGTTACAGTTGCTATTTATTTTATGGAATAATAGAAATGGTTTATAAAAATTGACAATAGTAGCAAATATTAAGGTGAGTTCTAAATTTGTCCATTAGAATGTTTCATTCTAGTATGAAAATGCAATCAAACAACAATATACCTACAACTATGCAAGAAACTGGGTCTTGCAGAAAGAATATTGTAGCTTTGTTTTATGTTTTTTGTTACTTTTGTTGTTTTTGGTTTTAGAGGCAGGGTCTCACTATGTTGCCCAGGCTGGAGTGCAGTGGCTATTCACAGGCAAGCACAAAGTGTGCTACAGTCTTGAACTCCTGGCCTCAAATGATCCTCCCACATCAGTATCTTGAGTAGTTAGGACTACAAGAAGATGACAAGGTGCCCAGCTAGCATTGCAGCTTTGAAGAATTTGCAATCTTTTTATAACATTGAATAGCCAAGGCATTGTCATAAAATAGTTAGAATTTGATCTCCCTGCCCTGTCAACTCCAATATATATTAGAAAATTAGTAAAGTAACAATGCATAACCATCCTAAAATGCATATGGAATCTCAAAACACCATGAAAGGCCAAAACAGTCTTGAGAAAGAAAAACTGGGGGCTTCATATTTTCTGATTAGAACATATATTATAAAGCTACAGTAATTAAAACAATGCAGTTCTGGCATAGAACAGACATACAGACCAGTGGAACAGAATAGCGTCTAGAAATGAACACTCACATATATGATCAAATGTTTGTTGACAAGGGTGTCAAGGCTACACAATGGGGAAAGATTGTCTCTTCAACAAATTGTTAGGCAAGCAAGACATTCATATGGAAAATGAAGTTGCATCCTTATTTTACACCATATACAAAAAATTAACTCAAAATGGCTTAAACATCTAAATGTGAGATGTGATATTGTAAAATTCCTAGAAGAAAACACAGAGAAGTTTCATGACATTGGTTTTGGCAATGATTTATTGGATGTAACACCCAAACTACAGGAAAAAAAGCACAGAAGAGAAATGGAATAATATCAAACTTAAAATAACTCCTGTGCAGCAAAGAAAACTATTCACAGAGTAAATAGGCAGCCTATGAAATGGGAGAAAATATTTGCAAATCATATATCCAACAAATGGTTAGTGTCCAGAATATAGAAAGCACTTGTACAACTGAATAACAATAATATCCAAATAACTATTTCTTTAAATAGTTAAGACTAAAAGAATATAAGCATGCATTTTATTTTTTTATTTTTAATTTTTGTGGGCATATTATTTTTGCTCACTTACACTAGCTTTTTGTCCAATATTCCTTGTTTCTATTATACAACATAATTATTAACTGCTCATGTATTATTTCTTTGTCAAGTAGAAGGAGATAACTTCAGTGTCACAAAAAAAAAAAAAAACACCCAGAAGTCTGGCCGTTAAAAGTGTTACCTGTCATGTATTTATGGGGTACATAAGATGTTTTGATACAGGCATTTAATTTAAAGTGAAATAAGCCCATCAAAAAGAATGAATTACCCATCCTCTCAGGCATTTATCCACTAAGTTGCAAACAAATCAATTACACCTTTCAGTTGTTTTAAAATGTACAGTTTTTCTTATGTTTAAAACTATTTTTAAAGGTAAGTTTCCAGACAAAATTAGTAGGTTCAAGGTCATGGACATTTTATATATCCTGTCATTTTGTTTTCCAAAAGTGTTGTTCTCAAACTCCATACTATGACCCTCTATAATCTATGAATGTGTGAATATCATAAGACTACACTTTCTAAATTGTTTGTATATAGTGACAATATAAATAATGGGCTTCCTTATTCTGTAATAATATGAGAGTTATCTAGACAACATTTTGCTAGTGCTGTAAAAATAGGAAAACAAAACAGTGGTAAACAATAATGCAGTGTGGAAGATGCTAAATTTATCCCACTCTAATTTTGACCATATCCATCTGCTTTTTACCATCTTAAGACAGCTGAGCCACTTTTTATTTTCTCTTTGCTCCCTACTTCTTCCACTGAAAAAGTGGTATTGAGAAAATGTAAGCAATAATCAAACTACTCCAGAACATATAGAATGAAGCAATTTGTCAAATAACTCAAGGCGATCTTTGTAATACATAATGAGGCCAAAAGGTGGAGATTTAATGTATGGACAAAAACACCTTCAAAATAGTATTTGCTTCTGAAAATATTTATGTTGCTGCCATGCATTGGTCTCAAGGACCAATATGTATTGTACAAAGTTCCAGTGGCTGTATATAGACATGAAATTACTTACTGATAATATGAATTGTAAATGTGCCAACGTTGGGTGTGCTGGACAGAAAATACAAGCAGTTCCAGGGTTCTGCTGTAACTGTCTATAAGGCATGTGTTTTTAAAAAGTGCCTGGCCCACTTAGATAGTGTTGAAAATTGATGCTGAATAAATTGATGAAAAATGAAAGAGAAAGAAAAATAGTTGTATTTGATACCGGAAAACTCTAAAGCAACTTCAATAAAATATTCAGAATGCAATAAAATGCAGTAGAACTGACACGTTTACTATATTCAAGAGCTGTGTTTGTCATTTAACAAATTTATAATTTTTAATCTTTATATGAACATTTAAAATAGATATCCATATCACAGTTTTTGATTGAGGTATATTAGTATTCACGTAACTTAAGTAGTTGTTTCAGGTATCAGAGAGTTAATTTAAAAATGGGATCAGAGCTTGAAGATAGGTTGACATGATCCCATGTCCCAGGCTATTTATTGCAAGCTCTGACTTTCTCCAGGTATCTGCAGAACTTATACGTTCACTTTATAAAGTCTACTCAGATGTCACTTAATTCAAGTGTTCTCCCTAACCTCACCCTAAATAAACGAACTATTCCCACAGTTGGTCTCTTTCATCCCTTTCCCCTTATTTTGTTACTGTCTATCATTCTCTCCACAACAGAAAGAAGCCTCCGCAATGGGAAGATCTGTGCTTGACTCACAGAAAGTAGTCTAATGTATACAGACACATGCATACCCATATACACATTTCTGTGAGTTTCTGTATACAGAAATGAATAGTCTTTCAAGGGCAAATATAGCCAACTCCGCCTCCCATCAACAAATAGTACTAATGATTGTTTGTCAGCATTACTCTAGAGTTATGAACGACTAGAATTAAGAGGATTTCAGACATCTAACTCCATAACTATACCTGTCCATATCTCTATATAACCATAATAATTATATAGCTATCTCAGTTCACCAATAATTAACTTCATTTTAAATCTAGGTCAGAAACTTATTGGGGTAGAATTGTTTTGTTTTGCCTTGCTCTATTGCTTTGTTTCCTTTCAGACGAGAAAAATCCTTTTGGATTGTCTAATCAAGTGTACTAGAAAAGGAGAATTGAAACATTTCTACATTAAATAACTCTGTGTTCTTTAGTAACAAAAATATAAAATTGAAAAGGATTAAATCAAACATACTAACTTCAGTGTTCTTTAGGATCATCTGGATAGCCTATCGAAAGGCAGATTGGCTGGGCGTGGAGGCTCGCACCTATAATCTCAACATTTCGGGAGGCTGAAGTAGGGAGATTGCTTAAATCTAAGAGTTCAAGACTACCTTCGGCAACATAGCAAGACTCTAGCTCTACAAAAATATTTTTTTACAAAATTAGCTGGGCCTTGTGGCACATGCCTGGAGTCCTAGCTATTCAAGAGGCTGAGGCAAGAGAACAGCTTGAGCCCAGGTGTTTGAAGCAGCAATGAGTCAAGATTATGCCACTATGCTCCAGCCTGAGTGACAGTGAGACACCATCAATAATAATAATAATAATAATAATAATAACAGATTGCTGGCCTCCAATTATAACATTTCTGGTTCACATAGTCTTTGCGGGGCCCAGGAATCATCATTTCCTACAAGATTTCCTGTGATGCTGTTGGTCCTGTTACCACACTTTAAGAATCACTGACCCTAGCGCAGGCTCCGTTCAATGAGGTGACAGGCTGATCTAGGGGCTCCAGCACTTGACTCCTTTTGAAAGTAATTTTGCATTTACAACTGCTGTGGATTAGGCAATCAAGCAGTTGAATCATGTGTTTACCCATGACAGTTGCTCAGAAGGGTCAGTCTTATAATAAGCCTTTTAATGTAACTCTACCTACATAGAGAGGGCATGAACATTGTCATCTAAGTGTGTAGGTCTCTTTGACTGTTGTATGTATTTGCCTGCGTTTAATTAGTTACCTTTCCATTCAAACATTTTAGAGAGAGGGAGAGAAAGGAAGAAGAAAGGACAATTTAAAAATATTTTTGACCTTCAACCCAGAGATCTGATCTTGGCCTGTCATATATTCAGGCTAAATCAGAAGCCATTTCTTTAGTGACATTCTATGTCTAGGCTTCGATATCTGTAATTTCCTTAAAAACTAGTTATTTAAAAATTTGTGTTACGATCATTCTGAAAAAGCATTTTTAGACCCTGTTATTGACAGAGATACTAATGTTTTGAAAATATAGTTGAGATTTTAGAAAAGTGAATTTAGTCCATTTAAAAGCAATTTTATTTTTCTCCAGATTTCTTAAGGTATAAATGAAAAGTAAAAATTATATACATTTATGGTATGCAATGTGATATTTTGATATATGTATACATTGTTAGATTATTAAATCAAACAAATTGAGATATTCCTCACCTCATACACATATTTTTGTGTCAAAACCCTTAAAATCTCTCAGAAATTTTCAAGAATGCAATACATTACTATTAACTATGGTAGTCAGGCTATACAACAGCTCTCCAGAACTAATTCATCCTAACTGAAACTTTTTACCGTTTGGCCAACTCCTCTTTATTCCCTGATGACTTTGCTCTGTCCCTCTACCAGGCCCCAGACAACCACCATTCTACTCTGCTTCTATGAGTTAAATGTTTTTTAAGATTGCACATGGGAGATCATGCAGTGTTTGTCTTTCTCTTCCTGGCTTGTTTCACGTAGTATAATGTCCTCCAGGTTCATCCACATTGTTACAAATGGCAGGACATCCTTCATTTTTAAGACTGAAGAACATTTATTGTGTGTGCTAAAGAGTGTTTTATTGTTTGTGTGTGTGTGTGTGTGTGTGGAGCATTTTATTTGTGTGTGTGAGTGTGTGTGTGCATGCCTGTTTGCGTGCATGAAGGCACACATTTTCTTTATCCAAAAATCTGCCAATGAACACTTAGATTGATCCCATATCTTAGCTACTGCCAATAGTGTTGCAATGCACATAGGGGTGCAGATATTTTTGGGAAGTACTGATTTTATTCTCTTTGGATGTAGTATACTCCATAGTAAGATTGCTGGATCATATATGGTAGTTCTATTTTTAACCTTTTGGGAAACCTCCACAAACTGTTTTCCACAATGGCTGTAGTAAGTTACATTTCCACCAATGCCGCACAAGGGTTCCATTTTCTCAATATTCTTGCCAACACTTGCAATCTCTTATCTTTCTTATAACAGCCATCCTAACAGGTGTGAGGTGTTGTCTCACTGTGGTTTTGATTTTCATTACCCTAATGGTTAGTGACATTGAGCATTTTTTTTTTTTTGGTATACATACTAGTCATTTGTGTATGTTTTTTGATAAATGTTTATTCATATCCTTTGCCCATTTGTTTTTATTAGGTTATTTGGGAGCTTGGGAAACAATGTTGCTTTTGCAGCTGAGTAAAGTTAGATAGAGGGACATGCCCCCAAAAGGACTATCTTACATCCTAACCATTAGAACGTATGCACATATAAATATATATGTATATATACACACAAAAAACCACATACATATATATTTTAAAATCTATACATTTATTTATTTACTTATTTCTGATGATGAAAACCTAGTAACGAAAAGGAACAAAATGAAACATTCCAACATCTTTCTGTTATTATGGCCAAATCAAATGTAAACAAAATAATTTGATTCACACACTTTAGCAGAAAGGTATGTCAGACACTAAACCGTGAATTAAATAAAGGTTGTAATTACTACACAAAGAAGTGTATTTATTTTTTGCTACAAAATATACACTTACTGAAAATGACTCAGTATCTCACAGTTGTATACATGTTGTAGGTAAAATGTCTGTTTCATCAAAAATAATAACTGTTACTTATTGAATGCTTGCAACCAGATATCTTTATAAACACTTTATGTGTGTGGTACTATTTAATGCTCTCAACAGTCCTACAAAATTGATAACAATGTTATTCCCTTTGAAAATGAGGAAAAAAAGGCATTCAATCTCTTGCCTTAGATCCCACATTTGGTAAAAATGATGTATCTATAGATCTATCTATCTGTCTGTCTGTCTGTCTATCTATCTATCTATCTATCTATCTATCTATATTGTATATATATTTTTTTCTTTTTGAGATGGGGTCTTGCTCTGTTGCCAGGCTGAAGTGGGAGTGCAGTGGCATGATCTTGGCTCACTGAAACCTCTGCCTCCCAGGTTCAAGCAATTGTCCTGCCTCACTCGGGACTACAGGCGCATGCCACCACTCCCGGCTAATTTTTGTATTTTTAGTAGAGCCTGGTTTCACCATGTTGGCCAGGATGCTCTCGATCTCTAGACCTTGTGATCTGCCCGCCTCAGCCTCCAAAAGTGCTGGGATTACAGGTGTGAGCCACCGCACCCAGCCATAATGACAATCTGCCTAAATAATAACTATAATGACAATCTGCCTAAATAATAACCATAATGACAATCTGCCTAAATAATAAAAGATATCAGGGTGTTTAAACAAACAGAGACAAGACAATTGACGATGTCCTCCCTTCTCTCTCTTATTTTGTCTATTTTTGCAGTTTGATTTAATTTTGTTTCTTATTAGGCAAGGAAAAATGAAAGCTTGTTGGAAGGGACAATTTAGCAAACATCACAAAGGCAAACTATCATCTCATTTGTTTGGGACAATTCTATTTTTTATTGTTTAATAAGTTTAAGTCCTACGTACTTTTTAAAACTGATTTGAAATCTAATACAATGAAGAAGAAACATTTTTGTCTCAATAAAATTTAAGGATTCATTTAAAAAAATGATTACCACCATTCAGTACTGAGCACAAGTACAACTCTATAATAAGTAACTGTTAGGATTTTCTAAGGTTCTGGGTAAAACAAGGTGACAATCCAGTAGTTTGAGGTGACATAGCATGCCAAATAATGTATGAGGTAAAGACAGTATTATCCATACCAAAGTAAGAGAAGTATAAATTCAGAAATAAATTGGATGCAAGAGAAATAAAGAGTATATAAAGTCACAACAAATAAGATATATATTCTATTTTCTGGTAAAGACATTTGATTTCGATTTTATGAGTTTAGTTGACAATAAAAGATATATGAATTTAGAAGAGGAAACTTTGAAAAAAATAGAAATTGTTTTTATACCTCTTTTATAAACCTAGGAATATATATGAGCTATATCATGAAGCTTTAAAAAGGTTTTTGATATATTGTGATAGGCAGCCTTAAATATTACCTCCAGTGAACATTGCTTTCTGGTATCTATGCCTTTGTGTAGTCCATCTCCCATTTTAACTAGGGCTGAACTGAGTCAGCCGTAAGCTATGGCAGAGTGAGAGTTTTGGACTTGAATAGATAGATCATAAAGGTATTATATATTTTACCTTGGTGTTTTAGTACCTTTGCTCTGGGGGTATCCATCTGCTATACAATGTGGACACTTAAGCATTCCTTTGAAGAGATTCACGTGGAAAGGAACCAACTTATCAGCAACAACCTGCCAGCCATGTAAGTGAGTCACCATGGAAACAGATTCACCAGCAGCAGAAAAGCTTTCAGATGACTGTAGCCCTGGTCGATGTGTGAAGACAACATGAATAACTTAGAGTCCAAACTGCCAGCCACACAGCTCCAGAGCTTGTGACCCACAGAAACTGTAAGAGATAATAACTGAGTTATTATTGTTTTAAGCAACTTTATGATGTTGCAGTTTGGTACACAGCGATAGATATCTGATACCAATGTAGATACTAGTAGGTGGGATGCTGCCATAACAAAACCTATAAACGTGGAGTGGCTATAAACATAGACTGGCTAGGCATTGAGTTAAGCTGGAAAGGCAGGAGGAAAGTGTTAGTAAAGTTCCAAAAAACCATGAAGAGACTGCTGTGGAAGTTCTCTTCTCCTTAAGGAGGCTGTCAGTGAGCACTTAAAGAAAATGTTATTGGCTTAGTCAAAAAACAACAGCCAATGGTGAGGCTGAGGAGGAAAGGGAATGTTGGTGGGAATATAAATTAGTTCAGCCACTGTGGAAAGCAGTCTGGAGATTTCTCAAAGAACATAAAACAGAGCTACCATTCTACCCAGCAATCCCATTATTGGATATATACCAAAAAGAAAATAAATCATTCTACTAAAAAGAGATACACATTTATATGTTCACCACTGCACTCTTTACAATAACAGAAATTGAATCAACCAAGGTGCCTACGAACAGTAGACTGGATAAAGAAAACGTGGTACATATACACCATGGAATACTATGCATCTAGAAAAAAAGAATGAAATCATCTCCTTCACAGCAACATGGGTGGAGCTGGAGGCCATAATCCTAAGCAAATTCACGCAGGAACAGAAAACCAAGTACCATATGTTCTCACTTATCATTGGGACCTAAACACTGAGCACACACGGACATAAATATGGGAACAATAGACACTGCGGACTATTGGGTAGGAAACATGAATTGAAAAACTATCGGGTACTATGCTCACTACCTGGGTAATGGGATCTGTACCTTAAACCTCAGAATCATGCAATATTCCAATGGAAGAAACCTGCACATATTGTCCCTGTATCTAAAATAAAATGTTGCTAAAAAGAAAAAAGAAAATGATATTACTGGGAGCTTAATCATGTGAGATTCTTATGATGTAATTGTATTTAGCAGCATTGGTATTTACAGTAGTATGGAAGGTGGAAAACACATGATAAAATGAATGATTACCCTAAGGAGATTTCTTGGCAAAATGTTGAATGTTCTCCCTGGCTACTTGCTACTGTTATAGAATACAATGTACATAAGGAGAAAGAGAAGCTAAAAACAACTGTTACGTGTAAAAAATACAAGATTTATCTGTAGCTTCTTCAAATGGCAAATGATGATAAATTAAGAAATGGTCTTGTGGGGAAGATCAAATCCAAAGTACTCTCAGGAAAGCACAAGCTAAAAATAAACACATGAGGGTGATAGAAAAATTCTTTTATAAAACCTTACAATGTTTCAAAGAATTGTTGAGTCAAATAACAGATCCTTGTAAGATCTTAAGGAATTGTCCTTTGGCATACCCAGAGAAAAAACTCAAAAAGAACAAGGGCTTATTTTAAAGAGATATGTTGATTTTTTTTTTCTAATGAAGTGACTGCAAATCATAGAAAACCCAAAGTTTTTAAGAGAACTGTATTATCAGACATACTGATATTTTGAACTGAAAGGTCTAGACACAGTCAAAAACAAACCTTTAAACTCCTGAACTTTTATACACAGAGGTCAGGCTGACAAAATTATTCTACTGTAAACTGAGGCTACCATTTATAGAAAAAGGAAACACACTCAAAATGGAAGACTAAGGGTCTAAAAAGAGGTAACATTCCACGCTTTGAGCCATTGTTAAAGAACTGCCTACATCTTTCCTGCTGGTTTTCAGAAATATTGTGAATTACCGATTCCTAACTGCCTCCATACCTGCCCCCACTATTTTGAACAGGAGTGTTTATAATGCTTATAATAAGCCTATATTAACATTGATGCGGGATTTATGAGAGGCAAACATGTTTAACTTACAGATGTCTAGATCAAGAATTGTAATTGAAGAACTCTACCCAATAGGTTCCATCCACACTTGAATCTGACTTAGATGAGGAAATCTTGGACTTACTTCATGCTTATTCTGTAGTTTCTTGAGATATCTGAAGGCCTTGGAGAAGAAGTGTAGTATAATTTACATTTTGGAGTGATGTGAATTATTGGAGGCCAGAGGGAGACTGTGATGCTCCACCTTCCAAGATGGCTGTCAATAATCCTCACCTTGTGGTGTTCCTGATCTTGTGTAGTGCTCTCCAGTACTGAATTAGGCTACCTGTGTGATCATGACAATACTGCCAAGATGATGGTATATAACTTTCATGGCTAGGTCATAAATGACATAGGAATGCCTGTGTTGGTCTCTTGCTGGCTCAGACTGAGAAAAGTAAGTTGCCATGTAATAAGAACCCCTAAGCAGCCGTGTTGAGAGGCCCGGGTGGATACAAATCAACTTTCTAGCACTAATTTACCAGCCATGTGAATAAGCTACCTAGGAAATGGATCCTTCAGCCCCAGTCAAACAATTAGATTACTTTAGCTCTGGCTGATAAATAATTATAATTTTATACGAGACCCTGAACCAGAGCTGCCTAGTCAAGATGCTCCTGAATGATGTAACATATTACACAGCTGCATGTAATAGATACATATATAATTTAACATTTTCTCCCTAAAGTTTTGATTAATTGATGCTTGTTCCCAACACAAAATATTTACATGTGCTTTCCTTAATACTAGTTTTGTTGGGTCTTTAAATCTTTGCCAAATTTATAGTCTAAGAAGAAGTATATAAATTTATATTATTTATGTATTTCTGCTTAATAGATACATTTAGTATTATTTCTTTATTTTTAATCCATCATTTATAATCTTTTTTCATTAATTTAAAATTTTGTGTTTACTGATTTTCTTAATATTATGGGTTTAAGAGATTAATTTTTCTAATTGCTTTATAATACAAGAGATAGTAAGGGCATTACCACTTTATACTATAGTATAAAATTATTTATTAAATTATATATATTTTAGTTTTTTACCTTTTTTTGAATATGAGTGAATATTTAGTAAGGTTTTTTTGAAATACAAAGATCTTAAATCTGTCAGTTTATTTTTTCAAATATAAAAGTCTGCAAGAGGAGTTACAAGATATTCTTAATCCAAGATTAAATAATTGTTTACTCTCCTTTAGTTTAAACTAGAAATATCTCTCTTCATATATGTGGATTATAGAGATAGATAAATGACAGATGGATAGATAGATGTTGTGTACAGGCACACAAAGACACATATATAATAATTATGTGTTTAATAATATTGAGCCTTTCAACTTATGAACAAGATATATATTTCTTTTCTTAAGTGTTTTTTTATCCTAGAAAAAAATTATAATATTTATGTAGGGTTTTTTGGGTGGGGGGAGATTACCAGCCAATTCTCCATGGAGGCTTTGGGTTGCTGGATATCTTTGGAGCAGATGAATTACAGATTATTTTTAAGAGGTTTTTTTTTTGTTTTGTTTTAAGAATTTGTGTACCTGACAGCCTTTTGATACAGAAATAGCGCCTCCCTCAAGAGCATAAGGCAGATTCATTGGCTTTCCAAAATAATAAAGGTATTGACTCTCTCTGGAGCAATGATTGAGAAGGTTTGCTTCTAGTATCCTTAAAAGCTCCTCCTTAAAGCCTCTTTTAAAAGACCGTAGTTTCCTAAGCTTTGGCTTCCTCAATGGTAGCATAACCCACTTCGTGTACATTATCCATTTTGGCCACTCCACATCACACTTGTGGGTCTTTGGGGGTAAGAGAAACAGATGCAAACATAGAGCTCATGCTGCATTTTGGTCCATAAATAATAAGTTCTTTGTTTTTGACCCAGGAGTCTCCTGTCTTTTTCCGGACTTTGTGAAACTGTGGTATGCTCAACAAAATCTCAGATCATTCACAGTTTTTTTATTATTATTATTATACTTTAAGTTTTAGGGTACATGTTATATCACTTTTGTAGAATGATAGTTCTGTGCCTAGTAATAAGTATATTTTTCATAATTTGCTTTATTTTTCCACTCAAAACGATGTGGATTTTTGATGGCCATCAGTCTTTTTCCTCACTATTTAATTCCCTTACTTTGTATTTCTATTTCATTACAGTGTATTTAACTGTATTCCCATCATAAGTGCTCTTATGTGTTTCTTTGTAATACTCCTTTGCTTATTCATCATGCTTATCCTACCTTATCTTTTCATCTCTATCCTTCATCTTTTCAACTGAGTTGATTCTACACAAAAGGCTTTCTGCTTATATTTAATAGAGCTTTTTAAAAATTTTATTCTATTAAAACTTAATATTCACTCATATTTTAAGTTTATACTTGTTCCTGCCATTGATAATTTTTAATGCTTTGCTCAAATTCTGATTTTCCAAGATAGTATTCTGTACTAGCTTTCTATAGACTATTTATGTTGAATATTAAGTTGCCTTTGGATAAGTTATATGTAATCAGAAGCCTTTTATGTAATGATTGAGCTTCCATTGTCCCTGCATGATGTGCAGTTCTGAGTTGACAATTATCTTTTTCTGATTTATAAGTGTAATTGCAGCTTGATTATAATTTCTAATCAATTCTAATTTTCTTAGCAGGGCTTTACCTAATACAGATTTACTCTACTAAACTTTATCTTCTCCTATAACCTCCATTTATTAATTCATTCAACATATATGTATTGAACATCTACCCAGTGCTGGACACTGTGTTAATTGGTGAGGAATAAATGGTGAATAAAACAAGACAGTTGCTATTCTCTTGGGGTATGTGTTTAAGGTAACACAGAAAATGCAATAATCAAAAAATAACAGAAATGTGTAATTGGAAATATGATGATAACTTTAACAATAAGAGAATGGAAAGGACTATTGCGTTTTGCTGGTCAAGGAACACTTTCCCAAGGAAGTAATCTTTGACCTGAGATATCGAGGAATAATGAGTGATCTAAATTAAAAGAAATATGAGAGGGAAAATTCCCAGAAGAAACAATGAATGCACAGTGACATAGGACAGAAGAGAGGATGTCATGTTTGGAGAACTAAAAGAATACCAGTGTATTTGACTGACGTGCACAGAAGGAGAAGAAAGGAGCAGGAGATGACTCTTAGCACAAATGTAAGTCCATGACCTACAGGTTTCATAGGCTAAGTTAGGCTTATTTAATTATTTAATTATTTTTGTTGATATAATATTTTAAATATTTTGGGGTACATGTGCTATTTTGTTACATGCATAGAATATGTAATGATCAAGTCAGGGTATTTGAGGTGTCCATGGCTTTAAGCATTTGTCATTTCTATGTGTTGAAAACATTTCAAGTCCTCTCTTCTAGCAGCTTTATTTATTCTTTCTAAGACCATTGGGAAACCATTGAATGGTTTTAATAAAGGAGTTACCTGTTAAGATTTGCATTTTGAAAGGTCTTTGAGGAAAAAAGCTTAAGAAAAGGAAGGAGGTGGGGAATGTTAGGAAGTTACTGCAGAGGTCAAGTGCTTGCATCTGGGGGAAACTAGTGGAGTAGAAAAGATTGTGAAATATTGAGGAGGCAAATTTCACCAAGATTTGACAACGTGTTCTTAGGTACATTGAACTATTTTCATCCTAATAGACAGCACTACTAGTTTTCTCCCCATCTCCTCACACACTTAAAGTAAGATAATTACTCACTACTTGTCTTCCTAGAAAAATTGCGCTAAGTATTCAAAAACAGTGAGATGAAAAGAATAACACTGGATCTAGACATTTCCAGAAGTATCGCATGCACAGTGAGGATAAGGCAGTCCAGTTTTTGATTCTTGATTGTTTATATGTTTGTTTCCAAACACTGGGACATACAGTCAGGAGAAGAGGTGGTGAGAGTATAAAATATCTTTCTACCTGTTTATTAAGAATTCTGCTTTATGAGGTGGATACCATAAAAGAGTTTATATTACATTTTTCTCAAATCAGTTACATCTGCCTATTTGTAAAAGTTTTTCAAAATAATAGAATTAGGTTTTCTGTTATCTTTCTTCATGGGTGTCAGGTATTTGTAGATATTTTCGTTTGTTTTTGTTATTCCTCATGTTCTTAGAGATATAGAAAGAAGCTGAAAGAGAAAATATAGGTAGTTGATAAATCAATTTTATTTTAAATGATAACTTTTCATAGCCTTTACTTGAAATTAAACTAAACTTTTATTCAAAGAGCCATAAGAGACCTCCACAAATCATATAGTTCTATCCCTTTGCCTTTAGGAAACCAAGTGTCTAAAACTAACAGGCAAATGTGAAATCTTGTTCTTTCGCTATTCAATACATCTACGATAAGCAAGAATCAATAGGCAGTTTCATTTAATTACAACTACTAACTATTTGTAAGTTTGATTACGTTATCTCCAGTGACTGCTGACTCCATGTATATTTTCTTCATTATGGCATCGGCTGATAAAATTGCTGTAATTCATTTATAGACTGACGCTGGTATCATGCATAACCTTCCCACCTCCCCTACCAAACAACAACAAAAACAACCCAAAATTAATTTAAACACAATTCACAAACACATGTCGTCAGGTCTTTCCACTATCTTGTGGCTTATATGTTAATTTGTAGGAAATTAATTCATCAATTAATTTACTTACTGGGTCATATAGTACCTTCTACTATATGCCAGGACTTATATTACTTGACTGACTATTGTGCACTATGCAGTGTTCTAGGTACTCAGGTTATATCAGTTATAAAACAAACATAAGCCCTGCTGTTGATCATGAAACAGTTGTGTATAACTACTTGAATCATTTTCAAGGACATGTCCATCAGAGTTTTTTTCACCTCAGGGGCAAGAAACTGGGATATATGTGCCTCAATTCTAATTAGCCATCCAGAAGTATTGCTCCCAAGAGGGAGTACATACACCCCAGTTAGAAGTATAAAATTACCAGTATTTCTGGCCTCTTAGCACACAGGCTCAACAGGTTCCGCTAACACAGAAATCCCTCAGCTAAACAGATGCATATGCTAGCAGTTGGAAATTGAGCCAAAGTGCCCTCACAATGGCATGTCTTGATGAAATATGGACAGGAAGTGACAGCATATTCTACAATCCACCTCTGCAAGTTGCTCAAGGAATATAACCTTAAGTTCCTGACATCTTGTCACTGAATATTCAAGGTGATATCTGGCCATAATTTCTTTTAAACAAATGACAACAGGATTGAACCTAATGCTATAGTTGGGCTTAAGAACTCAAGTAGTTTTATTTACATATATTGATTATGATTGTTAACCACTGGTAATATTTATTTTACAGAAAAGTGCTAAGAATTAGATAACTGTGTACTTTCTGTAATATGCTAGCATTTTGTGGCCAAATAGCAAAGTGTATGAATATATTGTCTCATGATTTGCATAAGTACGATTCCTCAAATACAATTTTTCAGTGTGGCAAAAAGAACATATTTATTAACATCCAAATATATTCGGCCTTGCTTTGTCATATAAAAATATGAAGCCAGAAATATATAAATTTAAACATGGTTGGTAATGAATGTTTCAATAGTTATTTACTTAGAAATTATATGGATATTTAATGAACTTCTTTCACTTAACATAGCATAGGTCTAAGGTTGCAAGTGACCAGAAAATGTTTGGAAAGTATATTTAGAAAGACATTTAAATATGATTATTGTTGAAATAAACTTTGTCAGAATAATAATTCAATTTAAAATCAAATTTATAATTTTAATAATCTTAAATATCTAGTAAACATGTGAGTTTCACTATTAAGCCTAAGTTGGGGTTCCTCAGTCCTTTGAAAGCCCCCGGTGCGTAGAGGGAGCCTAAAGTTCAAACACTTTAGGAGGTTGAGGGGCTACAGTGGGAAGCAGCAAAAGGACTAGCAAGAGTGAACAGATGGATAGAAGAGACAGAAGTTTAGAAGGAGGATAAATTGAATGATTAAGGTTGCTGAAGGGAAGATCAAGTGTGGTAAAAAGATAGGAGAGCAGAGGTGATGGGAAGAGAGAGGTCAGTTTTGGGAGATCTTAAATTTTCCAAAGAAGCCATTGAAGATCCAAATTATTATTGGTAAAATCATGCCAACAAGGAAGAAACTAGACAAAGTTAACTGTCATAGTTCATGAAAAGTCAGCAGAAATCTTCAGAGGAGGAGAATCAGAAGAATGAGAATTTCCATGGGGAAAGGAAGCTCAAAAATAACAACAAAAAAGAAAGAAAATCCTAAAGACACCTGTACAAATTAGAACTTTACAAAGAAAATGAAGCAAGATCTCTATTTGTTCCAAAGAAAGGGCATTCTAAATACCAAAGTACAAAAATTCAACCAAAATTCAACGATAATTTTCCATGTCATAAATCTAAGGTTCTGTCCTAGTCAGCATTTTGGATGCTGTAACAAAGTGCCGTAGATTGGGTGGCTTATTATCAATGGAAATTTATTTCTGGTGGTTCTGAGGGCCGGAAATGAGATAAGGGTATGACATGATTGGATCCCAGTGAGGGCGCTCTTCCTGTTTGCAGATGACAGCCTTCTTATATCCTCACATGGTAGAAAAAGAGTTAGCTAGCTTCCAGGCCACTTCTAATAAGGGTACTAATCTATTCTTGTAACTTAGTTACTTTCCAATGGTCCCAACCGCTTATACCATCACCTCAAAGATTGGATTTCAAAATGAATTTTGGCAGGACACAAACTTTCAGGCTATAACATAAATCAATCAGTGAGGTGTGAAGACAAAGTCTTCAAAGGTGTGCACTTGAGGTCCTGAGCACAAAATCTGTGGGTCTAACAGTGAATATAATCATATGTTAGTCATGGCGCCAGAACTATTAAAGAGAAAAATTATACCAGACACTTATTAAAAATAATAAGACAAATTGTATTCAGTCTAATCTGTAGAAGAGCAATATTTCTGTATAGAATTGAGTTCAACTCTGATCATAACAGGGGCAGCTTGGAATTTATGGTCAACAGGCCAAGTGAGAAGCTTAGTGAATGGAAAATTGATAAGAGGACTCTGGTTAAGTATAAAAAGTGGTGAAAGAGAAACTTGATTAGATATCAAGGGTGGGGAAAGAGAAACCTAACTGGAGATCAAGGATAGAGGGATAAGTAACTTGATTAGATATTAAGGTGAAGGTAAATTCACTTGTCTGATGATCTTTTAAAATTTTAAGTCCCATTTCTGGGCTAAAGAAACACCCACAGTATATGTCCAGTATGATGTCAGTCCTGAACTCCAGGCTCATGTATATAATTGCATATTCAACATTTTCACTAAAGTAAAATAGACATTTTATAAAAAAAAACTTTTCTGAACCCACCTTTTGACCTTACCTTTCACTCATGTTACATTTTCAGCCTTCTTCATCTCAATTCAGTTTTTCCAGTTGTTTAGGCCAAAATCTTAGGAACATTCTTGACATCTGTCTCTCATATCCCATATACATTTTGTAAGGGAGTCCTTTGATTATACATTCAACAAATATTCAGAGTTGGAACACTTCTCATTTCCTCCATCACTACTATCCAGGTAAAAGCCACATATAGTTTCTCACTGGCATTACTGCAAGAACCTCCTCACTGGTTTCTCTGCTTCCACAGTTTCCCATCTATTCTCAGTATCAGAGTGAGAGAAGGTGCTGTTCTTCTACACAGCAGTGTGACTATAGCTAATAATAATGCGTTGCATGTTTTAAGATAGCTAGAAGAGAAGATTTTGAATATTATCACCACAATGAAAGGATAAATGTTTAAAGTGATGGATGTACTAATTACCCTGATTTGATCATTATACAATGTATATATGTATTAAAACATCACAATATACCCCATACATACCTACACTTACTTGAGGTGATTGTAAGTAAAATAAAACTTTAAAAATCTTAAATGAGTATCATACTTCCTTTTTGCTCAGAACTGCATAATAGTTTCCTGTCATAAAATAAAGACAAAAACTATGACAGTGAGTCATACATTTCTGCTGTGTTCTCAACTCTTCTTTCTTTATTTGAGCATCTCCTTATATTCTTGCCAAATATTCTGCTCTCTATCCATACAGATTTCTTTATAGTTCCTAAGGTATTTGCATTAGCTGTTTCTTTCTCTCGGGTTGTACTTTCCATAGATAATCTGCAAGTCTTTAGTCAAATCTTATGTTTTTGGTAATATGTATGTCAAATAGTTTATTTTAAATTGTACCCCATTTTCACCCTAAAACTCCAGTATTCAGTATTTCCTCTTTCGTTTTTCTTTGAAAATTATTTTTAAATATTTTCTCTATTCTATATATTTACTTTTGTTTTAGCCTACAACTATCTATGGATCATAAGCCCCAGGAAGGCAGGAATTTGTGCTACTTGATTCTTTGGAATAGTGTCTGACATACAGAAAGAAGGCAACAAATATTTGTCGAATGAATAAAGGAATAAAAGTATGAGAATAAATCAGGAATAATGTCAGAATTAATAGAGTTAAGATAGAGGTAAAGAAGAGATGGTCTCTGGCTTACATAAACATTGAATTGACATACGTTACTTGGATAAAAAGTGGAAGAGCTTTGAATGGTGGGAAGTTTTACCCACACTGCAGTTAGGGGTTCTAATAATTTCTGATAGGTGTAATAAGTCACATACTTAAATGAAGCCGGCAAGCTCTAATTAATATATGACTATCCATAATTAAGGTTTCTTTTATTTTTTCCTGCATTGTATTCACATCATTACTATAGTTACATTTCATAAATTTAAAAGTGCTTTTCACAAGCCAAATTTATGCCTATGAGTAATGATTGATGCAAGTTTAGCTTTGCTGTTCTTTAATTTTGACAATTCTCACTTTTTAAACTTTTAAAGAAATACCTTGAATTAATGGTATATAATTATCTCATACTTAATAATTTTCTTATAGATAATATTTCCCTAAACAATTTAAACAGTGATTAGTTATGATGATAGTTTCAAGAGTTTTTCTTATCAATTGAAGCTGAATGGTCAATATTTGATGGGAAGGAAACTTCAAACAGAATAATGTCCACATAAAGCAATATTTAAATTCAAAAGAAAATATTTTTTATTGCTGCTCAATATTATAGATCCTCTCAATGTGCATTTTCCTTTAGGGTTACCCTATATATTAAGATATTCTTAAGTGTTTAAATAATGTCTCATTTGTGGTATGATTAACATTAATGGAAATGAGAAAAAGGTTTAATTATCTCTATGAATGTAAATTATTTAGCCATTGTTTTTAAAAAATCTGCAGCATGAGTTAATCAAAATAATCTAGAATTTTTATTACATAAAAAAAAGGAAAATGGTACCTATGTAAGGTGACGAATATGTTAACTAACTTAATTGTGGCTACCATTTCATAATGTGTACTATATAACAAAAATCAAATTGAACAACTTAAATAGATCCAACTTTATTTGTTAATTGATCTCAATAAAGTGGGAAAAAAAAGTAAAAGGAAACCAACAAAACAACTTCTAATTTTCAAAAAAAGTTCCTCCACAATGAAGAGGGCAACAAGAACCTCAATGGATTAGGGTCAGATCTTTATGAGTACACATGTTGTTTTATGAGTACATTGTGAACACATTAATAGAAAGTGAGATAAAGCTTTGCTCAAATTAAAAATCAAACCATTTGAGGACACCTCTTTCAGTCCTATATAGATGCAAACCACTTTTTTCCAATTATTAAACATATTTTAGTTGAAAGGATGTCAAACCTATTTTTAAGAATGCAACAAACTATGATTCAAGGATAATCATGATGAAAATATTAATTTTTTACATGTATCTACAGCTATTTTTGAGTGTCTGTTGATAGTCACTGTTCTCTTTTTTCTACTTTCTAATCCGTAATTCATCCATGTTAGTTTTTTCATTTATCTGGTACAACCTAATAATAGATTTTTCATATTTCCACTATTTCAGGATTGAACAGTTGTATAGTCGTCACAATGATTCAGAGATTAGGTACACAAACAATTATGGTTAAGAACACGAGCTGCTCATGATGACAATAATAAAAATAGCACAATAGAAAAAGTTATATGATCTCATAGTATTGAAGAATGATATTGACGTTTTTATTTTTTAACAATCTGTTCCAAGTAGTACTTGCAAACACTACTAAATTTCTTAGTTTTACTTTTATCTATTATAATTACGTTTTTAAATTTTACTTCATTATGTTTTAAATTTATTATTTATTATCACATTGGTGAAGTTTTTCTTTTCAATCTACCTTCTTTGCTTCTCACAGTTGTCTTTACTTAGGGTTGTCCCTCTTTTCCTTGAGACTGCTAATCAAAACATGGCAGAATGGTATGTAATTAAAGATATCCATATAGGTCAACTCTGAACACTCCATGGCCTCGATTCAATAGAAATACTCTATGTCTTGACTATTTCCTAACACTGTTCCTTCCCCTCTTCAGCCTTCTTAAATATGTTTGACAGCTAAAGTGAAAATTATAACATTATCTGATGTAGTACTGAATGTATGTGGAATAAATATATAAGAATTTGATATAATAAATGGAGAGAGTACGGGGATGTAAAGAGAACTAAGGTTTCTGCACTTCACTCAAACGGATAAAATGACACCAGTAGACTCTAAGTAGTGTGTATATAATGTAATACTTAGATCAGATACTGTAAAGGCTGTCCAAAGAGACACACTCAAAAATAAGATCAAACAAATAAACTTCTAAAACATGCAATATTGGGAAACCTGCCCTGATAGTCACGTAGGTTCTTTTCTATTTTCCCTAAGCGTCAGCAGGTTTGAGAAATAAAGGGACAGAGTACAAAAGAGAGAAATTTTAAAGCTGGGCATCCAGGGGAGACATCACATGTTGGTAGGTTTTGTGATGCCCCACAAGCTGCAAAACCAGCAAGGTTTTATTAGGGATTTTCAAAAGGGGAGGGAGTGTACGAATAGGGTGTGGGTCACAGAGATCATGTACTTCACAAGGTAATAGAATATCACAAGGCAAATGGAGGCAGGGCGAGATCACAGGGCCACAGGACTGGGCTGAAATTAAAATTGCTAATGAAGTTTCGGGCACCACTGTCATTGATAATATCTTATCAGGAGACAGGGTTTTGAGAGCAACCTGTCTGACCAAAATTGATTAGACGGCAATTTCCTCTTCCTAATAATCCTGGGAGCACTATGGGAGACTGGGGTCTATTTCACCCCTACAGTCTCGACCATAGAGGACGACCACACCCAGGGGGGCCATCTATAGACCCACCCCCAGGCGCATATTCTCTTTCCCAGGGATGTTCCTTGCTGAGAAAAAGAATTCAGTGATATTTCTCCCATTTGCTTTTGAAAGAAGAGAAATACGGCTCTGTTCTACCTGGCTCACCGGCGGTCAGTTTAAGGTTATCTCTCTTGTTCCCTAAACATTGCCGTTATCCTGTTCTTTTATCAAGGTGCCCAGATTTCATATTGTTCAAACACACATGCTCTACAATTTGTGCAGTTAATGCAATTATCACAGGGTCCTGAGGCGACATACATCCTCCTCAGTTTACAAAATGACAGGATTATGAGATTAAACTAAAGACAGGCATAGGAAATCACAAGGGTATTGATTGGGGAAGTGATAAGTGTCCATGAAATCTTCACAATTTATGTTTAGAGATTGCAGTAAAGACAGGCATAAGAAATTATAAAAGTATTAATTTGGGGAACTAATAAATGTCCATGAAATCTTCACAATCCATGTTCTTCTGCCATGGCTTCAGTCGGTCCCTCCGTTTGGGGTCCCTGACTTCCCGCAACAATGCAATCCACAGGTATATAGGACAAAAAGCAGACAAAACAAAAATCAAAAAATAAAATGGCAGATTTAAGCCCTAGCATATCAATAATTACATTCAATGTTATCTTCAAAACATTCCAATTAAGAGACAGAGACTAGGAAAGTGGAATACACATTACCAAACTCTATGTTTTCTACTAGAAACTCACTTCAAATATAATGAAGACAGGTTCAAAGTAAAAGGGGAAAGAGAAATATAACACAAACTTTTTATAAAAGAAGCTGGAGTAGCCATATTAGTATCATGAAAAGCAGATGTCAGGGCAAATTAACTTTCTAGTGACAAAGACATAAAATGAAGACAGGTTCTGTCCATTGAAAGAAATGGTAATTTTAAAGGTATATGCAGTAAACAGCAGAGCTGCAAATTATGCAAAACAAAAACAGAATTGAAAGGAAAAATAGACAAATGCAAAATTATAGTTGGAGACATCAACACCACTTTCTTAATGCTTAATAGATAAACTAGACAAATTGGCAAAAATATATAAGAACTCAACAACACCATCAACCAGTAGGATCTAATCAACATTTACAGAATACTTCATCCAATTTCAGGGTACATATTCCTTTCAAGTAGAAATAAAATAGTTTATCTTTGCAGATGACATAGTTTATAACATAGAAAATTCTAAGGATTTGCAGTGCTCCTAGAAACCATCAACTGAGTTTATCAAGGTCAAAGGATAAACATAAAATTATGCAGCCGAATATATTTATCACAGGATAAGCATACAAAAATCAATATAATGTGTAATACTTTCAATGAACACATTGGATATATAAATTGAAAATACCATTTACATCACCCAAAAAACTTATGCACAAATATAAGAAAAAGATGTGTATGACTTGTATGGTGAACACTTCAAATCATATCAGAAAGAAAGAAAACCTAAATAAATGTAGAGGTATATAGTGCACATGGATTGAAAGATTTAACATAATAAAATGTCAATACTCCTAAAACTGATAAATAGACATTTTCAATTCCTTTAAAAATTCCAAAAATATATTTTGCTGCTATAGAGAAGATTATTCTAAAATGTATATATAAATACAAAGAAATTACAATAGCTAAAATGACTTTTATAAAGATAAAGTGGGAGAAAATCAGTCTACTTCATTTCAAAATATTATTCAGCCACATTATTCAAGACCATGTGCTACTGGTAGAGGGATATATGCTTAAATGAAAAGAACAAAAAAGTCTCAGAAATAAACCCCTACAATTATGCCTGATTGAATTTAAGTGTGAATACAGTCAATAGAGGAAAGATAAGCTCTTCAACAAATGTTGGGACAGTTGAATATTCAGTATTCAGTAAAAATATTCAGTAAAATTTTAAAAGACAGAAGAAAAAATCTCAACCTAAACCTCACATTTATATAGAAATTAACTCAAAAAAAAACTCATTTGATCTTGAAAATAGATGATTGATAGATAGATAGATAGAGAGATAGAGAGAGAGAGATAGATAGATAATAGATAAGATTGAAACCTAGAAAACTTCAGAACAAACATTGGAGGAAACCTTCAGCGTATCAATCTTGGGAGTGAATACTAAAACTTGACATGAAAACCACTATCCATAAAAGGAAAAAATGAGCAATTGAATTTCAGTTGTATCTTTCTGAACATGAAACTGTTAAGAGGCTTAATAGACAATATACAGAGTAGGTGAAAATATTTGCAAACAACATATTCTACAAAGAACTAGTATCTATAATATATAAATAACCCACAACACAAAATTAATAAAACAAACATCAATGAGAACGTAGGCAAAACATGAGATATTTCATTAAAGAAGATATATAGATGTCAAACAAAACAACCAAAACAGTTTAAATCACTAATTATTAGGGAAATTTAAATTAAAACAATTATGAGATACTTTCACACACCTATCAGAATGGCTAAAATAAAAAAAAATAATGTTGTCAAATAGTGGTAAAAACGTGGAATCATTTATACAAAACTGGCGGGCATGTAAAATAGCACATCCACTGTGAGGAAAAGTTTGGCATTTTCTTAAAATACTAAACCTGCAATTACCATAGGACCCAGCCATTGCACTCCTGGGCATTTATTCAAGAGAAGTGAAGAACTGGTCTCATAACATCCTATAGACAAACATTATAACGGCTTTATTTAATAATGACCAGAAACTGGAAGAAGCCCATATGACTAAAGAAATATCATACAACCATTCCATATGCAGCAAGGAAAGAACTAAACCACTGACACAAAATAAACCTGAATGAATCTCCAGGTAATTATCTTAAGTAATAAAAACAATCCCCCAAGTTATGCACTGCAAGATTCCAGTTATATAACATTTTTAAGGCCAGGCACAGTGGCTCATGCCTGTAATCACAGCACTTTGGGAAGCTGAGGTGGGAGGATCCCTTGAGCCTAGGAGTTTGAGACTAGTCTGGAAAACAAAGTGAGACTCCCATATGTATGCAATAAATAAATAATGAAAAAAGTAGATGGGCATGGTGACATTAGCCTTGGTCTCAGCTACTTGGGAGGCTAAGGCGGGAGGACTGCTTGAGCCTGGGGAGTTGAGGCTGCAGTGAACTATGATCTTGCCGTTGCACTTCAGCCTGGGTGACAGAGTGAGACTCTGAACAAACAAAAACAAAAATTCTTGAAATAACAAAAATTCTTGAAATCACAAAAATATAGGAAATGGGAACAGACTAATGGTTAGAAGGGGTTATGGAGGGAATGGGACGGGGGAATGTGGGTGACTATAAAAGGCTACCTGAGGGGTCTTTGTAGTGAGGGAAATGGTCTTATCTTTACTGTATCAATGTCAATATGAGGTTGTGATATTCTACTCTAATTTTTCAAGATGTTATCACTGGGGAAAACAGATTAAAGGGTAATAAGATCTTTCTCTTATATGAACCTACAATTATATCTAAATAAAAGGTTTAATTAAAAAGGTACTTGGGGTAATTTAAGAGGGTAGACTCTAAAGAGGGTGACTCTAAAGAAAAAATTCAGAATAAAGAATGTCAGTTGTATATGTCAGGTGTCATTGACTATGTTAAGGTATTAAAATTAAAAAATATGAGTTTAGCATAATTGTCACATGTACCCTAAAACTTAAAGTATAATAATAATAATAATAAAATAAAATAAAATAAAATATAAATGAAGATGATTAGAGAGACAACAAAGTTTTGTGAGTGAGGAAAGAAAAGTAATTATTAGGTGATGTTAAGGGCAGAATGTGTTAGTATTAACGTCATCCAGTTCCCTTTTCCTTCCTGAGAATACATGGGACATTACTTTTCAGTTCTTTGGCACTTTGGAAGGGCAGTTTGCCTGGTTCCAGCTCATTAAACATGAGGAGAAGTGATATGTGTCAATTCTGAACCATTGGGGTTTTTTGAGTCTGGCTTTGCTCCTTAGCCATATGACCAATGATACTCTTAATTGTGAAGGCTGCCATCTTGTTCCATGAGTGTCTTCCATGTGAAGTAGAAAACCTCACTACTAAACCCACAATAGCTTTTTGTTTTGAGAGAGAAGGGAGATTAAGAAAGTCATTTTTACGTGTTTGGCCTTTGAGATTTTGAAGGCATGTTTTGCCTGGTGTATGCATTTGCTGTTGCTGTGTAACAAACCACAAACTTAATGGTTCAAAATAATACCTATTTATTCACTCACAACTTTGTAGGACAGAAGTGCAGGATGATAGGTCGAAGTCTGCTCTTGAGACACGGGAGGCTGAAATCAAAGTGTTGGCTATCTGCATTCCTATCTGGAGAACTGTTTTTTGTTTTTGTTTTTGTTTCTTTTTTTTTTTCATGCCTGTTACTAGGAGAATTAAGTTCCTGGTGTTTGAATGGCTAAAATTGCCATTTTCTTGCTGTCTGCCGGCAAGGGGCGGCCCTTGGCTGCTTAAGGTCATGTACATTCTATTTCAAATGGATATTTCTGTCTTAAAACCACAGTCTGCCCTTGTCATGCTTCAAATCTCTCTGATTTCTTTTTCTGCCATGAGCCAGGGAAAGCTTTTTGCCTGTGAAAAACAAGTGATTATGTTTTGCCCACAAGATAATCTAGGATATCTCTGTTTTTAGATAAATTAATTAGTAACCTTCACAACATCTGTAAAGTCCCTTTTGTCATGTGACCTATTTATGCGCATGCTATCTCATTGGCTTTACAATCCCAGGGTTTGGGGGTGGATAATCTTAGAGTGCAATTACTCAAATTTTGCCTGTCACACCTAGCTTAATGCTAGCCTGTTCTCATAACCACCATAGGAAATTCATCTATTCAGTTTTACAACATTCACTAGGTAATGCCAAACATTTTTACAAGGTAGTTATATTAATATATGTTTTCACTAGGAACATATGAGCTCCTGTTGCTTCAGATCCTGGCTAATACATTCTATTGATTTTTTTTTTCTTTTGTCGATCCAGTGAGTATATAATAATGTGTCCTTAATGTTTTAGTTTGAAATTGCTTTTATAACTGATTATGTTGAGTACATTTTATAATTTTGTGGACTATACTTGTTGAAAGAACTGCTTGTCTATTTTCCACTGGGTTTTCATTTTTTAAAATTAATTTGTAGAAAATTAATATGTGATAATTGAAAGTTTTACAGTTTTACAGCTATAAGAAGAAAATAGAAAATTGAAAATATTGGGAGCAAACAAGATGGGTATGAGAAATGGCCTAAGACTGATGGAAATTAAACTTTGGGTTGATGGACACATTGAATAAATAAGGAAGAGAATAATTTACACAGTAAAGACCCAAAGGAGTGAAGTAGGGATTAAATCTAGCACATTTCTTGACTTTTAAAAGCTACATAAAAAGGAGAAAAACAAAACAAAATGAAAATAACACCCCAAAAGCATAAACTGGGACACTAAAAATCAAGTCTGGATAGACAGGCAACAAAAGCAAATGAGTGGCTTGTGAACAAGCAAACCAAAAAAAAAAACAAAAAAACAAAAAGGAACGAAAGAAAAATGAATGCAGCTTATATTTAAATACATAGAAGGCTGGAAAGAGAGAGAGAGATCATGATAGCATCACTGCACTCCAACCTAGACAACAGAGAGAGACCTTGTCTTAAATAAATAAATAAATATATACATACATACATAAATACATAAATAAATGTCTAACTTGCTATTACTTATGTTTTGCATTTGAATAGTGTTTCTCATTACTTTGTATTTTGTAATCATTTATCAACATGAAGCATAAAATTTTAACTAATATTTTGATTAAGAAAAGAATTTGAGAGAAAGTACATTTACAAGGGCAAAACATGGCCTTTCCCATTAACTACACAGGTGAAGGGAGAGACAGCAATAAAACAAATTAATTTTACAATGATACGTACCTTTTAAAAATCATGCTGTATTGTAGAAAATATAACAGCACTTTAAATTAAATAAGAATCATGATTCTCTATGGCTAAAAGATCCAATATTCAAATACACAAGCAAGATATGTAAAAAGAAATCAGTCATATTGTTTCAAATAGCAACACAACTATCAACTGAGAGTGTATTAAATCAGAAAACAAATCTTGTTAAATTTTTACCAATTTAAAAGAAGCCATGAGTATTTTTAAATCAAGTTCTTTTTATCTTCCTTGATATTTATTTTGCCTCAAAGATCTGTATCAACATTCTGAAATATACTAAAAATTTTGTGAATGGAAATATCAAATGTTTGAAATGATTAGTACTGCATTGGGGAATATATATATATATATTCAATTTTTACTTTCTTAGACTAATTTGATTTTCTAATTTTTTTATTTTGACACAAATTAGGTTATAATGTTTTAAGACATCAGCATCTAATACAGATATTTTACATTGTAAATCTTCTCTGTTTTAGAGAAGTTTGAAATCAACATATTCTGTATTTCCTATTGTGTGGATAAAATTCTGATCGTTTCAACATCAGTGATTATGAGTAATGACTGTTGGCATAACCCCATTTGTCTACATTAGCTAATTTTTACGTTGTAAGGGGTAGAAATGATAGTCTACTTTTATATGTGATAATTGTACGTGTTTTCATGTATTTTTTTTAAAATTTCAGCTGCACAATATTGGCAGTAAAACAAGAAACCTTTAACGCCTAGAATGCATTATTTTGATTTAATTTGTGTAGTCTTGTTTTACTCTGTTCTTCCCAAGAAAGAATATGGGTACTTGAAATGTAAACAATATCTAATTTTGTCAGCTTTTTACCATTTTATATTCTTCCAGTATTTAAATCTACTCATATTTTTTCTCATTCTTTAAATAACTTTTAATGCCATTGGATACAATATATAATACAGCAGAGAATGCTCAATTTTATATTCTATAAATGCTAGGGTTCTATGTCTACTAAAATCACACAAAAACAGTTTTCCAGAAATATAGAATATTTCTATCATCACAGAAAGTTTAGAGAATAGTATTAGCCTAGGGAATTTCTTTTAATAGTCAATCACTGGTGAAAGTTGATACATGTAAGCTGTTTTGATAAGCTCACTAGGACATAGCTGTTATGTGATTAATATCATGCTAACTCCATGGCTTTTAATACAAAGTATGACTTCTAGCATAGATTTATTTTTCTTAAATTACATTTAAGACTCTGTATAGTGTGAATTTTAATCAATTGTGGTAAAATAATAATTATCAGAATAATAGTCACCCTAATGCTACAAACTTTTATATGTAATAGGCATAAGTTTATCAAGTTTAGTTAACATATTCACAATTCCACAGTTAACAGTGGTAGGTAAATTGTCATTCCTTCCTGTGATCTCCAGCACTAGGCAGGTCAAGATTATCCTCTCCCATAAATGAGATAAAAATATGTAAACACTTTATTTCCATGGTTCAGTTCCAGATTATGAGTGAGAACATGTGGTGTTTGATTTTCTGTCCCTGTGTTAGTTTGCTGAGAATGATGGTTTCCAGCTTCATCTATGTCCCTGCAAAGGACATGAACTCATTGTTTTTTATGGCTGCATAGTATTCCATGGTGTATATGTGCCACATTTTCGTTATCCAGTCTATCATTGATAGGCATTTGGGTTGATTCCAAGTCTTTGCTGCAAGTTTTCCAGATATATTCTATAATCTATTTGCTTCTTAACTGGTCACAAATTTACTACTGCCCTTAAAATCAGGCCATGGGAAAGAAATCAATTAAAATGTAAGTTTAAATATGCTTTTTGTCATTTCTATTTAATATCCTTTATTAAAAATACAAATATTTTATATCCAAGACTTTTTGACACCAAGGGAATCAGCTTCCTTGATACAAAGCAAATTTTTTTGCAGAAAAATATTTTTAACATAAAGTTCTTTCTTGGAAATATTCAGTAACAATAACATTATATGTTTACTTGATTGCCTTATAAAAATAAGAAAGGAAAACTAATAGACTATATGATGAGAGTAAAAAGTTTCTCAGAACTGAATATTTGAAAAAATTTACTTTGTGAAGATAAACAATATAAGAATTATTTACCAAGCTTATGGCAATATCACATCCTACCAGTAGCTATAAAGTAGCAGTGCCATCTGTCTAGGACTCTAGCAAGCATTCATAATTATATGTTTTAGTTGAATTATTCATTATTTCTCTCATCCCTTGATCTCTGTTCATTTAATGGTACCTTATTTATTTATACTTGCTGATGTATTTATATTTTTGTTTCTTATACAATACATTCAATATGTATTTTCTACTCATGTTGCTTCATTTAAAAATTAGTTGAGCAATTCAGGTAGATTAAATGTCTAAAGTACTATAATAATTATAATCATAAGTTTCATTTAGTAAATGATTATTATATGATAAACACTGTGATAAAGTGTTTACATATTTTTATCTCATTTATGGGAGAGGATAATCTTGACCTGCCTAGTGCTGGAGATCACAGGAAGGAACGACAATTTACCTACCACTGTTAACTGTGGAATTGTGAATACGTTAACTAAACTCGATAAACTTATGCCTATTACGTATAAAAGTTTGTAGTATTAGGGTGATTATTATTCTGATAATTATTATTTTACCACAATTGATTAAAATTCACACTATACAGAGTCTTAAATGTGATTTAAGAAAAATAATTCTATGCTAGAAGTCATACTTTGTATTAAAAGCCATGGAGTTAGCATGATATTAATCACATAACAGCTATGTCCTAGTGAGCTTATCAAAACAGCTTACATGTATCAACTTTCACCAGTGATTGACTATTAAAAGAAATTCCCTAGGCTAATACTATTCTCTAAACTTTCTGTGATGATAGAAATATTCTATATTGGTGTTATCCATTACAATAGCAACTAGCCATATGTGGCTGTTGAGCCCTTTAAATGCGGCTTGTACTATCTAGGAACTGAGTTGTTTTGTATTTATTTATTTATTTTTATTATACTTTAAGTTCTGGGATACACGTGCAGAACATGCGGGTTTGTATACATAGCTATACATGCGCCATGGTGGTTTGCTGCACCCATCAATCTATCATTTACATTAGGTATTTCTCCTAATGCTATCTCTCCCCTTTCCCCCAACCTGCTGACAGGCCCTGGTGTGTGATGGTCCCCTCCCTGTGCCCATATGTTTTCATTGTTCAGTTCCCGATTATGAGTGAGAACATGCAGTGTTTGGTTTTCTGTCCCTGTGTTAGTTTGCTGAGAATGATGGTTTCTAGCTTCATCTGTATCCCTGCAAAAGACGTGAACTCATTCTTTTTTATGGCTACATAGTATTCCATGGTGTATATGTGCCACATTTTCTTTATCCACTCTATCATTGATAGGCATTTGGGTTGATTCCAAGTCTTTGCTATTGTAAATAGTGTTAAAATAAACATACATGTACATGTGTCTTTATAGTAGAATGATTTATAATTCTTTGGGTATATGCCCAGTAATGGGATTGCTGAGTCAAATGGTATTTCTAGTTCTAGATCATTGAGAGATCGCCACACTGTGTTCCACAAGGGTTGAACTAATTTACACTCCCACCAACACTGTAAAAGCATTCCTATTTCTCCACATCCTCTCCACCATCTGTTGTTTCTTGACTTTTTAATGATTGCCATTCTAACTGGTGTGAGAAGGTATCTCATTGTGGTTTTGATTTGCATTTCTTTGATGACCAGTGATGATCTTTTTTTCATGTGTTTGTTGGCCATGAAAATGTTTTCTTTTGGAAAGTGTCTGTTCATATTCATCACCCACTTTTTGATGGGGTTGTTTGTTTTTTTTCTTGTAAATTTGTTTAAGTTCCTTGTAGATTCTGGATATTAGCCCTTTGTCAGATGGATAGATTGCAAAAATTTTCTCCCATTCTGTAGGTTGCCTGTTCACTCTGATGATAGTTTCTTTTGCTGTGCAGAAGCTCTTTAGTTTAATTAGATCCCATTTGTCAATCTTGGCTTTTGTTGCAATTGTTTTTGGTGTTTATTCATGAAGTCCTTGCCCATGCCTATGTCCTGAATGGTATTGCCTAGGTTTTCTTCTAGGGTTTTTATGGTTTTAGGTCTTACATTTTAATCTTTAATCCATCTTGAGTTGATTTTTGTATGAGGTGTAAAGGCGTCCGGTTTCCATTTTCTGCATATGGCTAGCCAGTTTTCCCAACGCCATTTATGAAATGGGGAATCCTCTCCCCATTGCTTGTTTTTGTCAGGTTTGTCAAAGATCAGATGGTTGTAGACGTGTGGTGTTATTTCTGAGGGCTCTGTTCTATTCCATTGGTCTATATATCTGTTTGGGTGCCAGTACCATACTGTAGCCTTGTAATATTGTTTGAAGTTAGGTAGCATGATGCCTCCAGCTTTGTTGCTTTTGCTTAGGATTGTCTTCGCTATAGAGGCTCTTTTTTGGTTCTGAGTTTTTAAACCAAATTTGAAATCTAAATATCCATATGCCTAGTGGCTACTGTATTAGAAAATGAAATTCTAGAAAGTGTTCAATTTGAAAGGCATTAAGATGCTAACCCCAAGACCTTCAAGTGATATAAATTACTCTGATTCCTGGAAATATATAGCAACCACAATTGTGGTAGTGCCACAATTAACAACTCATAGTCACTCAAGTTTATTTTGAAACACAAGTTTGAAACACACGAGTTTATTTTGAAACAAACCCAGACCCTCTAAAATCTCATTCATAATATTTTACTAGGCAATTTTAAAAGAATGTCAGCTGCTCTTTTTCATGCATAATGACAATACATTTTCAACCTAAATAAACTCATCAATAGTTAATACCATTAGGTCTTTAGTCAATTTTTAAATTTTCCCAATAATCTTATGAATAAAATTTTCAAAATAACTTTAAATACATTCCATATCTGCATATTGGTATGGTAGGTTTGCATTTGTTTGATAAGTTTTATAAAAGTCTTTGAAAACCTATTTGGCTCATTTCATTCTATTCTGGGAGTTTTCAACTTACTGGTTGAAAAACCTTTTTGTGCTTGGTTTCTTGGGTAGACTTTTTCATATTCTGGATTTGCAAATATCTTATTATTATATTTTGACTTTGGCTAATTTAGGAGTAGCATGATTTAATATTTCTCACTATCCTCAGTATTTTCTAAAAGCATTTGGTAGAATTGAAATATTGTTCAGTGTCAGCTTTTCTTTTCTGGTAAGATTAACTTATTGGAAGTGCTGTTTGCTTCTATCAGGAGGCATATAGTAACCAGTAATCTAGTTTTTTTGTGTGATTCTCACTGCCATACTTAAAGACTAGGTCCAATATTTCTTCAATTTTTTTAAATAGTGGTAATATAATTTGAACATTTGTTCCTTATTCACAAGCTGGCATCTGTAATTAAAAAACGCTTCTCTAGTAATGATTTTGCTCTCCTAATGCAAAGTTTTTTTAATGAAGGATAAGTGGTTATTCCCTTTTATCATTAATAATTTTTAAACATAGAAACCCTAGAAACCACCAAAGATTACTATGAATTTGTTTTAATATCCTTATTAACTCAAGAATGTAAAGATATTTTATACATTTCAATCCACTGCAGTTGTCATGATTTTTCTACTCAAATGATTACATCCTTGACCAGCAGAAGTCTCTTCAAGTTGGCTCCTAAGTAGTTTGAAAATGACTTATCATTTAAAGGTGCTAGATAAAAAGAAAATCCTTCTTACAGAAGTTGCTAGCTCAGAAATATTTGTGTGCATCTATTTCTGAGCCCTTTACTTTACCTGCTATGTATACAGTATTTATCTATCCCCAATCTAATACCACACTATTTTGATGACATTTATTTAAAACTGCATCATGGCACCAAGAGAAACATTTCTTCCACTTAGTTGTCTTCTCTCAAAGATTTTTGGTAATTTTTGGATTGTTGCCCACCTATATAAATTTTAGTATTCATCAAATTCCTCAATAACGTATTTTGGAACTTTTAATTGACTTGTAGTGGATATATAGATCCATTTGTTTGAAGTGCATGCCATCATGATTTTGAGTGTTTCCAGCCATAAAAAATCTGCCTTTGATTGTCTGTTGTATTTTAAAGCTTCAAAAATATTTTTCCAAATGTATTATAAGCTGCAGGCATGTATTTTATTAGTGTTTTTCTGCATACATTTTTCATTACAAAGTTAGATGTTATTACATGTCTAACTATTGCTATTGGTTAATAGGAGTAAAATAAATTATTATTGTATTGATCTTATAATGAGAATGCTTACATTTATGTAATTATACTTTTTTCCCTATAGTGTGCTTATTTGCCTATGTAGATCATCCATTCAACTGCAAAATACAGATAATTTTGGTGTTCTTTTTAGTTTGTAGCCACCTTTATTTGTTTTATCATCTTTTTGCACTTGCAAAAAGTTTAAAAACAGTGTGGAATATATAGAATAATTCATTAAGGACAAGCTTTCTTGTTTGTTTCTAACTTTAATTGGAATGCATCTAGTAGTTCACTAATTATGCACTCTGTCATATGGCTGTTTACTTAAATAGCTATCCTCAATGAAATTAAGAAAGTCAAGCTCTCCTCTTAATTTAATGCAATTTTATCATCATCGACTGTGGAATTGTTTCACATATATTTTGGCATTTTTTGAGTTAACCATATTATTTCAATTTTTAAAAATAATGTGGTGAATTAAACTACCAGATTTTCTAAAGTTTAACAAAAAAATGCATTTCTGGCATAAATCTTCCTTGACTATTACGTACTTTTTTTTCAAATAATATCAAATATTTTCTCGATTTGCTTTGCCACGATTATTTTTGCAACTAAGTTCATTAATGTCTTTTGCCTTTATTTTTTTTCCTACTGTCTTTATCTGGTTTGGATATAAAGTTAATAGAACACATAAAAATAAAATAGAAATATTCTGTTCTGTGTAAAATGGAATTACCTGTTTCGTCATTTTGGATTAAATTTACCTGTAAAGATTTAACTACTAAATGAACTAATAGAAGAAACTTGATTTTTAAATATGTACTACAAATTCATGTAATTTTAAAACTTTGATAAATATAATATAGTATACTTGGTACTCAGCTTTGGAAATGAGTACCTTACCAGTAGACAACCCTCCCCCCATATATAAACCCCACTACTTTTTCATCCTCCTTCAGAGCTAATCACATCATGAAATTCTCGATAAAATTACATGTTTTAAATGTTAACACAATATACATAAAAGGCCTGATGAGGAAAGTGCTGATCAAGCTACTGTGTATATCTTTAGCATATGACAATGAAGAAAGTTGAAAAATAGAAGTTACTGTCGATTGAGTATTTTTTATCCCTAAATATAGCCATGAGATGTTACATATACTTCTTTTGTGCACCTCTGGAAGGGTATTATCTGTAATATCATACAACTCAAATCACATTCATATCCACCTTCCTCAAACCTTCCTACTTTCCATTTACACTTCGTTAATTAAAATTCACCCACATTCACATTTTACATGCATTTAGTATATTTGGAAAAATAGGTTAAGCTGTGACAAACTGTTTACTGGGAAGACAGCAGCAATTTGCTCTATGTCATACCTAGACAGCTATCTTAGCAAGGAACTATTTTGATTTATGGTCACAGAGTTCAAAAGCTCTGCTGTTCAGCATCCTTCATCCTCATCTTCATTGATAGCATTCTTCTCAGGTTACGTGAAAATTAGCTACAAAAGTAAATGTAGCCTACAAAGTGCAAACTTAGCGATAGCTATAGTCAATTACAGTTTTAAAATTATTCTATAGTTTGTTGAGTTCTACATGACAAATAATTCAAAGTGTAGTGTCACAAATCATAATATTCTGAAGTTATGGAGGGATATGGTTAAACAATTAAGTGACAAAACTGCTCTTGTGTGCAGCCAAATCACTGGAATATTAATAATGTGAGTTTTAGAGGAGTGTTTTATTTTGTCTTCTTGAGGAAATGAAGTTTGTAAACAGCTTCGAAAGTAGAAGTATTTTATCTGGAAATAGCTAGCTCAAATAAGATTCCATGAGTAAACGTGTCATATACTTTAGTGGCTTCAGCAGAGTAGGTTTGTCTACTTTGTGGCATATTGTGCCTTATGCATCAGTCATGTCGTCCACAGGGATGGCCACACATTTAACATTCCCAACCAGAAATGTCCTAGTCAATCCTCTGGACCTCCATCTCTCTTGGTAAAGCAAGGGAAACTCCACATTCAGTCTGTCATGATTGATGCAGCCCTTTTGGCTGCTTCTGCTTCAAGTGAAACAATGATACAGCCCTTCAGTCTGAAATATTCTCTTGCATTCACTGCAGGCTTTTGCATGTAAGTTGTCCACAGTGGTATGGAAATATCGTAGTATCTGAGAACTGTACACATCTATGGTAATGACATGGTCTGGCTCAGGCACTAAAAGCAAGTTTTACACAAACTGGAGCAGGATTCTTGTTCTTCTTATTTTTTTTTTGGAAGTATGCACAAAATGAAAGTACTGCTTTCACTTTGGAAGACAATGTCTTTTATATACATATATATATATGATATATATGATGTATAATATATATTTAATTTGGGTAAAACATATGTAACATAAAATTGACCAGCTAATATATTATATATTATAATAAAATATATATTATAATAAGATAAAATATATATTATTATAAAATAAAATATATATTAAAATAAAATAAAATATATTATATATTATAATAAAATATATTATCATATATAATATAATATAATATAATAAAATATATATTATAATAAAAGATATTATATTATAATAAAATGTATTATACATCATAATAAAATACATATTATAGCATAAATTGTATATTATATGTTATTATAATATACATTATATATTATAATAAAATATAATATATAATATATTATAATATATATTATAATAAAATATAATATATAATATATTATAATAAAATATATTATAATAAAATATAATATATAATATATTATAGTAAAATATATTATAATAAAATATAATATATAATATATTATAATAAAATATAATAAAATATAATATATTATATATTATAATAAAATATAATATATTATATATTATAATAAAATATATTATAATAAAATATAATATATAATATATTATAATAAAGTATAATATATTATATATTATAATAAAATACAATATATTATATATTAAAATATAATATATATTATATTAAAATATAATATATATTATATTAAAATATAATATATATTATAATAAAATATAATATATATTATAATAAAATATAATATATATTATAATAAAATATAATATATAATAATAAAATATAATATATATTATAATAAAATATAATATGTTATAATAAAATATATAATATATTATAATAAAATATAATATATTATATATTATAATAAAATATAATATATTATATATTATAATAAAGTATAATATATATTATATATATATCTAATTTGGGTAAAATATATGTAACATAAAATTGACCAGCTTCACTATTTTTAAATACATAGTTTTGTGCATTCACATTGCTGTACAACCATCACAACCCTTCATCTTCAGAACTTTTTTTTCAGTCTTCTCAAACTAAAACTTTTTAGCTCTTAAACAATAACTTCCCATTTCCCCTTTCTCTCTCATCCTGGAAATCTTCACTCTACTTTCTGTGTATATGAATTTGACTTCTCTTAGGTATCTTATATAATTTTACTCATACAATATTTCCTTTAGCATGATGTCTTCAAGATTCAGCCATGCTGTAGCATCTATCAGAATTCCATTCATTTTTAAAAAGGACTGAATAATACTCCATTATCTGTATATGCTACATTTTATTTATTGTGTCATCTGTTGATGGGCATTTGCATTGTTTTTACCTTTTACCTGTTTTTCTGTGAATAATGCTGATATGAACACTAGATCATTTTACTGGATGACTGCTAGCAACATGTTTCTATGAGTTTTGTGTATATGACCTTAGAGTATCCCCTCAGTAAAGGAAGTGAATGGATCACAGATCTGCTATTCAATACCATTTTCATGGTATAAATATTAGAAAATAGAAAATATTACTAATTCCTGGCATTATTTTGCACGTGTAAAATTTAAAAAAGAAAAACAAATAATAGAACCCAAAATAAATTTCATGTGGTCACTTAATAAGTATAGATGAATAAACACTTCCATTTTTTAAATAGCAATGTTCACTTATTTTAAAAATAGTGAAGACTATAATAAATTCTCTAAGTAAACCTAAAAATAAATATGCAAATATTGTTTGAAATATGTCAAAAATATTCACTAGAAAAAAGAATATTTGAAACAGTAAAATATAGACATTTCTCAAAAGAAGACATGTAAATAGACAACAGGTATATGAAAAAATGCTCAACATCCCTAATCATGAGAAAAATGCAAATTAAAACCATAATGTGATGCCACTTCACACTTGTTAGATTGGCTATTATCAAAAAGATTTAAGCTAACAAGCGTTAGAAAGGATGTGGAGGAAATGAAACCCTGTGTTCTGTTGATCAGAATGTAAATTAGTACAATAATTACTAAAAATAGTATGGATATTCCCCCCAATAATAAAAAATAGAACTACCATATGATCCAGCAATCCCACTACTGGATATATATCTAAGAAATAAATCACCAGCTGGGAAAGATATCTGCACACATTTTAAGTTTTCACACCATAAAAAATGATGTGTGTGATTACATCAAGGTAGAAATAATGCCTATGTTAATTACCTTGTTTAGTCATTCTAAAATGTGCACATATTTTAAAACAAAATATTGTACATCATAAATATATAAAATGTTTATTTGTCCATTAAAAATAAACTTAAAAAGTGAAAATTGAAAATTAATATTTTGGTGAGTTGCAAGATTGTTCAATGGGGGAAAAATAGTCTCTTTATTTCCATATAACAAAACTGCACTTCTATCCCCTAAATCTATAAAAAGGAAAAAAAGAAGAATAATCTCTTCAACAAATGGTTCTACCAAAAGTGGATATCTATATGCAAAGGACCGTGCTTGGACCTGTATATTATAACATATGCAAAAATTAACTTAAATAAATCAAAGATCAAAATGCACATGTTAAAAATGCAAAACTCATAGAAGAAAACATTGAGAAATAGATTCATGGCATTGGATTTGGCAATGACTTCGAAAGAACAAGCAACAAGGAAAAAGACAAACTGGATTTCATAAAAATTAAAAATGGAAAATCAAAATACATAAGAAAGGAAAAGGAACCTACTTAATGAGAAAAATATTTATAAATCTTATATATGAAAAGAGTTTAGTACCCAAAATATGTAAAGGACTTGTACATCTCAACAACAAAAAGACAAGCGACTCAATTAAAACAATTGGCTGAAGACCTCAATAATCACTTCTTCAAAAAGGCATACAAATGGCCCACAGGCACATAAAAATGAAGTCAACATTTTTAGTCATTAAAAAATGTAAATCAAAAGCACAATAACACTTCAATGGTATAACTGTAATGGTATAACTGTAATTTAAAAATCAAAACACAGACAGGGTTCAGTGGCTCACGCCTATAATCCCAGCACTTTGGAAGGCCAAGGTGGGTGGATCGCTTGAGGTCAGAAGTTCGAGACCAGCCTGGACAACAAAGCACAACCCTGTCTCTACTAAAAATACAAAAATTAGCAGGGCATGGTGGTGCACGCCTGTAACCACAGCTACTTGGGAGGCTGAGGCAGGGGAATCCCTTGAACCTAGGAGGCGAAGGCTGCAGTGAGCTGAGCTCCCACCACTGCACTACAGCTTGGGTGACAGTGTGAGACTCTGTCTCAAACAAACAAACAAAAGTATTAAAAAGTATGCGGAGAAACTGAAACCTGCATACATTGCTGGAGGGAATGTAAAAGTCCTCAGTGAACCACTAGCCAGTGTGGTACACTGTTTGTTGGTTTGTGAAAAAATTACACATAGAATTCTCAGCCATTTTCTTTTTAGATATGTACTAGAAGAAATTGAAAACAGGTATTCATACAAAAGCTTGTGCACCAGTGTTTATAACAGTACTGTTGACAATTTCCAAAAGGTGGACACAACCTCAGTAGCCATCAACTGAAAAATGAATAAAGAAAACATATGTAATTATAAATGGAATAGTATTCAGCCATACAAACAAATGAAATATTGCTGCATGCTACAACATGGATAAGTCTCAGAAACATTTTGCTAAGTGAAACAAGGCAGACATGAAAGGATGTCTAATGTATGATTCCAGTTACATGAAGTATTCTAAATATGCAAGTCCATAGATATAGAAGGCAGATTAATGGTTGCCGGGGGCTGATCAAAGAGGACAGCTGGGTGAGTGACAGCTGAATGGATACAGCATTTCCCTTTGGGAAAAAATATTTTGTAACTAGATGGAGGCAATGATTCCATGGCACAATAGATGCACTAATGCCACTGAATCGTATGCTTTAAAATGGTTCATTTAATGTTATCTGAATATTACCTCAAAAATCTATTATTACATGAATATATATGCATATATATGTATTTATCTGTGTGTGTTTGTGTGTGTCTATGTGTGTAATATTTATGGGAGAGAGAGAACACACAAGTGAGACCTGCTGCCCTCCAACAGGAGGGTGACAGTCCCACGATAGCCACCCAGTGCATGGTTTACAGATGTTGGGGTCACCAAGAAAGATATGACTCACACAGGCACTGGATGGAACACTTTTGCTTATATAGAAAAGAGACCAAGCAAGATCAGCTTCAATAATGAACATCAGTCCCCAAGGCCAGCAGACTTCACCTTGCAGCTGATGCAAGGAGATGGTCTGCCTACACACCTCTTGTGTTGCAGGTGAAGGACCCTGCTTCCACCGCATCAGGAACAGATAAAGCAGTGAGGCTGGACAGGTACCATATGATTTACACACTTAAGTAGAAAAAACTTGCTCATCAAATCCAAAAGAAGGAAAAGTATGTCCAAGCAGAGAGTTACATCCAGCCCTGGCAGTAAGGTCTTTTTATTGAATTGTAAGGACATCCCCCAGCCCCAAGTCCACTCTTTGGTTGCTATGCAAGGGGCAACAATCTACCTTGCTGTCTTTCCCAGCAGTTTGCCTTTGGGTGATGAACATGTTTTGCAACTATGTAGAGGTGATGGCTCTACAATATCCTGAATACACTAAATGTTAGTTTATTTTACTGAATTATATAATTTAAAGTAATAAATTTTATTATTTGATTATTATCTCAAATATACATATACACATATATACATACAAATATATATCACTTGTGTATAGGTTGGTTATATCTACATATATAATTTGATCATGTAATATATACATCTTAGTTATACTTACATATTTTCATTAAATTTATTTATTAAAGCAATGAGATCTCAACCATAATGTCAACAGAATTTAGGGTACTTTAAAAAAATGTACAAATATTAATGAAAATTTTGAAAAGGAGCAACATGATTAAAAAATAAATAGTTGCCAAAATTAATACATTATAATATATATTACCATTTAAAG